>NC_000006.12:95828365-95979880 GCF_000001405.40 Homo sapiens
TTGCTATTAAACCTAAGGGTTTAATAAAAGGTACATGGTAAAGTCAGGGGTATTATTCTATCTAGAAGAAAATCAACTTTTTTTTTTCTGCTCCCTGCTTCCATAAACTAGCCTCAACTTCATCCCCAAAAAGAAAGGTTTTAATCCTAGCTTTTCAAGTTGAAGATACTGTAATGGGCTATACTTCAAAGGGAAGGTATTTCAAAAGGATTATGGGTCAGGGTGGCATCTTTCTTTCTTTAACTGATCTTTTTCCACATAGCTAAGGAAGACACTACAGGAAACACTTACGAAAAGCTCCAAGGCAGGAAATCAAGTGAGGGGCTTCACCTTTGGCATTGGGACAATTTACCTTTTCTTCATGTTCTTTAAGAAAGTACATATGATTTAGACTTATTTCAAATTGCAGTTTGAAATAAGATTGGGATTTGCGGAGGATATAAACTGAAAAGATCTTTCACCTACTTTGGTTTTGGCCTATTTGGGCTTACTTTGTTTCTATCTTATGTTACCTCTGGCTAGTCCATTAAAGAGTCACAGATGATTCAAGGCAAAGTCTACTCACAGTAAAATGGTAATTTTGCTTTTTCTGGGCATATTTTTCTTTCAGGAGCCCTATGAGAAGAAATGGCAAGTCCTGAGCTATTTTTTATATCTAGGTTCTAATTTCATTTTAAACCCACATTAATACACCCCACCTTGATGTCCCTAGACTTATTTGCTAGCTACTTCCCTGTCTTCACAAATTATGTATCTGAACTGTTGGTTTTGTCTACTTTGGTTAGTCTTATCCTATTATTGCTACTTCTATCAAAGTCGCAGATTTTTGTCATTAATCTAGTAAAATAAAATAGAGCAGATTCTCATGACCATTTGGCACTAGATATCTGTGCTTTTAAAATGGTCCTCTAATGTAAGACTTGATTTGAGGACTTTCAAGTCAAGTGGGTTATTCAGAAGTACTAAAAGAACCATGCTGTGTTAAACTACCCATATGACTCCAATTAACCTTATAAAAATGTAATTGCTGCAGTATAGCTGCATATCAAATATCCATTACTCTTGACCCTTTCAATATGGTTTGAAACTATGCCCCCATGAAGAGCCAGATTTCAGTTATTTTAAGACTCCAAATTGGATATGAATTCTGTAGCAAATCTGAATCTTTCTTCCCTACCTATACTAATTTATACCTTCACATATATTTGCAGTTACCAAGAGAGCACTCCCTTGTGCATTATGCATCAACAATGTAAAGATTCTTTCAAGGTTAAAATAGCTGATAAAGGTTTTGTTATCTAATGATTATCTATAATTGCAGGAATCAGTTGCCTAGTTTATGGAGAAGACATTTTATGTATATATCACATTCTCTTTACTGAATGCTGAAAAATCTATTTGAGCTTTCAGTTGAATTAAGGTGTATATTTTATAATGTTATAAAATAGGAAATTACTATTCCTGAAGAAATTTCAGTCACTACAGGGAGACAAAAAGAATATTTCAATTTCTTCTAAGCATAGCAATATACTTTAGAGGTTTACTGTATTTTTCAGAACCATCTGTACATTCAACCAATAAAATTCTAAAGGGTAACTTTAGGGCTTAAACTTCTAACAGGCAGAAATATTATTTATGATTATTAAGGTCAATATGATAAACTACAAATAATTTAATTTTTGAGTTCAGGAAGATTTAAAGTTAAATCTCAGACCTGCTGCTTCTTAACCATAGAATATATGGCAAATTGCTTTATCGCTCTGAAATTTATTTCCCTAATCTGTAAAATGGGTTTGATGCTACATATAAATTTTAACTTGCATGTATTCTGGGACAATAATATTTGAAACACCTAGTTACTATAATATTAATAAATAAGAGCTTATTCCCTATCTTTTACATAATTCTATATAATAAGTTATTCTATGTTTAATAGTTAAGGACAGTATGTGTAATTGTTAAGAACATGGACCCTGAAGTTCAATTGTCATGATTTGAATCGCATCTACCCTGATACAAGCTAGAGACTCTGGACAAGTTACTTAAATTCTGTGTTTTGCTTCCCATTTTTGTAAAATTGGAGCAATGAAAGTATCATAAAAATATTATATATAAAATTCTTTAAAAGAATCACTGCTACAGAGTCCAAAGTCTAAGAACATTCTAGTTCTAAGTGACTAACAAAATATTTAATCTGAGGAATTCTAAACCCTGATGCTTTCAAGCAGTGATGTAACCTATGCTCCTTTTAATTTGTATCTAAAATTTTAAAGCTATTAAGAAGGTTTCTGCCCATTGTTTATGGTTTTAAATTCAAGTTGTTTCCTCCTGTATTAGTCCATTCTCACACTACTATAAAGACATACCTGAGACTGGACAATTTATGAAGAAAAGAGGTTCAATTGACTCACAGTTGTGCAGGCTGTACAGGAAGTATGGCTGGGAAGGCCTCGGGAAACTTACAATTATGGTGGAAGGCAAAAGGGAAGCAGACACGTCTTCACATGGCCAGGGCAGGAAGAAGAGAGTCAAGGGGGAAGTGCTACACACTTTTAAAAGACCAGATCTCATGAGAACTCACTCATTATTACAAGAACAGCAAGGGGAAAGTCTGCCTCCATTATCCAATCACCTGCCACCAAGCCACCAGACCCCTCCTCCAACACTGAGGATTAAAATTCAACATGAGATTCGGGTGGGGAAACACAGCCAAACCATATCACTTTCCCTCTGACTCAATACTGCCCTTAGAATTTTATGTAAATGCAAGTATAGTAAAAGCTTTATAATACCGATGCAAAATTACATGGAAAAGAACATGCAATAGCTCTATTTTTTTTTATTTTTTACCAGAGTGGGTTGATAATAAACAAAGCTGTGTAGATTACAAACTAGGGGCCCCAGACTGAGTTATGATTATTGATTCTCATAAATGGATTGCCTCCAAAGTCTCTGACACTGAATGCCCACTCACCTCTGCCAGAGTCATTTGTTAGATTGTTGCTGTGGACCCAAGATCATTGACTCCATAAATCTCTGACTGAAATCCACTCTATTGGCATTCTAGGTTCCCAAAGGGCCTGCACCCAGTGTGAAAGCAAATGAAGTCAATACTAACATAAATAAATTATTAATGGTACATCTACTTGGCCAGGAATTAAGTCAAGAAGGATTGTAACAAGTGACAGATATAAAGGGTTCACTTTTTGGAGTTACATTTCTGCTTTTACTCTAACAAAAATTTGCCAAAACATCCACAGGACTCATAAGCAATATATGAAATTTATAATCAAAGGCACTGTGATAGTTTAAAATTGTATTAGAGTCTCATATTTGGTTTCATTTGGAAAATGTATCTTTTTGTTTATGAGATAAAAGGAGAATGTTTTTCCCACTTAAAAAAAAGACTTTTATGCATTCATTGTTCATTTAAAATCACATTTTCTGAGGATAGCAGAGAAAAGCTCCTCTGAGATTTATCAGAATATTGCTGATTCTTAATGGATGTTTTTCAAATGCCATCAAAGAATGTACACATTAAAACCCTCCAAATGTCAAATATCTTGAATAATGGCAAGAAATAACTTGTCAGATTGATAAAAACTTTTATCAGTCTCTTAACTCAGGGGAAATAGAAAGCTATGTCTAGAAAACAATGTTGAAGCAGACTAGAAAAAGAAAAAGGCCACTCCTCCAGAGACAATATAGCATTTGAGGCAAACCCAGTGTTCCATGAGCTTCATGGAATTTGACGTAAGTGATGGAGATAACCTGCATGTTAACATGGATGCCTGTCCATGTTTGAACTTTTATGTGAGAGATGAAAATATCCTCAAAGAAACTGTGTTACAAATGTGGAAAAGTTTCAAAGGGGAAAATAGTTACCATTGAAAGGATTATTTAGGATTTGTTGTATGGATCCCTGAAAAAGTAAGCCAGCCAAAATGCAATCTTAAAATTTTTTTGAGGAAATTTTTTTCACATTTAATTATTTTCTAGAAGTAGTCTTCATGTAAGTGTAAAAACTAGAGAATATATGGCTTTCTAGGGTCTCAAGTTCATAGATTTAAAATAGATGTTAGCAGTTCTTTCATCCCTCTCTTTTTGGCATCACTGCAAGGTGGTAATTCAGCCTCTGCTAGAAACTGTGAAAATAATAGCTACCATTTACTAAGTGCTCATTTGTCCTGGGGACTGTGCTAAATACCTAACAAATATCACACTTAATTATCACAATGACCCTATGAAGAAGACAATTTAGTGTTATTTTTTAAGACAACTAAGGTTTTGAGCATTTACTATTTTGTTCAAGGTCAAACAAAAAATAAGACATGTCACAAAATATGAACTCAGATCCTTTGGCTTCCACAGAATGTGCTCTTAATATGTACAGTATGCTGCTTGAATTTTTAGTATAGACAGTTTTAGTTCTTGGAAAAGTTTTCTTTACATTGAGCTAAAATATACATTCATGTAAATGTCATGGTAAAGTTAGTACTTACTTACTTGCCTTTTAAATGACATAAGACTGCAATCAGATTTCCCTTTAATGTTTTTTTAAAGTAAATATTTCAGGTACAAGTGTAAACTCCCTTTGAAGAAAGAGTCATGAGGAGATAGAACAAGCTTCATGGAAGCTCTCTTTCTACCTCTCAATCTACCATGTTACCTGGATTTTTCCAACATGTAGGATTGGGGAATCATCTTCAGAAGAGCCCAATAAAATTATAAGCTACATGTATTGAGTAACATAATTGTATATCAGCATGTATTAATTTATCTATTATTTGTTGTTCTATAGAAAAGAAACCTTGGAGGGGGTTGATATAAGTCAGGTACATTCCAATGGATCTGCACAGGACGAGATATTGGCAATGGGATATTGTTCTGTTTTGGATATGGTTTGTTTGGCTTCCTTAAGGCTACATTGAATTTGTTCCACAGCGTTGGAGGTGGAGTCTAACGGGAGGTGTTTGGGTCACAGGGGCAGATCCCTTACAAATGGCTTGTTGCCATCTTCATGGTAATGAATCCTCACTCTATTAGTGCCCATGCGAACTGTTTGTTAAAAAGAGCCTGTCATCTCCCTCTCCTCGCTCTTGCTTCCTCCCTCACCACGTGACTAGCTAAGTCCCCTTCACTTTTTGCCATGAGGCCCTCAACACATGCAGATGCTGGCACCGTACTTTTTATATGGCCTGCAGAACTGTGAGCCAAATAAACCTCTTTTTTAATAACTTATTCAGCCTCAGTAATTCTTTATAGCAACTCAAATGGACTAAGATACTTTCAGGTGTAGATCAAGCATAAAGTGCATAACTCTTTGATGACACCCTCACTAACCTCATCAAAATATTTTCCCTCAAGGATTTAAAATAACCTTTTTTTTTTATTTTTTTTCAGTTTCTACTTTATTTCTGTGGGCCTAGCACTTACTCTCTTACCAAGATATTCTAATGAGATACAGACGTTCTTAATGAACTCGGTGTGATATGATTGAACAATTTCCATTATTTCCTGAGTAGGCAACAGAGATAGGAAAGAAAGAAATTAAGATCGAATTCTCCAACCTCAATGTGCACTGGAATCATCTGGAAGACTGAGCCACACTCCTAGATTTCCTGGTTTAATAGGACTTGGAGTGAGGAGGAGACAATATAGGACATGTATGTTTGCATTTCTGATAAGTTCACAGATGATGAATAATGATGTTGCTGGTACCAAGGCTACACTTTGAGAACTTCTGGACTAGGGAGCAGTATAGAAAGGGAAATGGGGAAGTGGTAAAGGCGAAAGGTTTTACCAGAGCCTAATGTAACTTAGTATAGAGAGTATTCATGTTAGATCCATAATGACCATTTTATAAGCATATCTTATCTTACAAGTAAGAAAAATGAGACACATACTCAAAGTGTTGTATTGCATTGCTGAATACTGGTGAGTTGGGACAAGAATCTCTTTTAAGTTTTGTATTTTAGTCATGAACAGAGTCTTTCAAATTTGAGGCTCCTAGGAAATATTTGAAGAGCTTGGCAAAAGTGTGGATTCCTAGATACTATTCTGGACTCAGACCTTAAACAATCTGCTTTTTAATAAATTCCTTTGGTCACTCAGACACAAGACATATTAGGACAACACTCTAAGAAACAGGGCAAGTAAAATCGGGTGCTAGGCTAGCCTCACATAGCAGGAGCAGAGACCTAACTGAACACAAGACAAGCTGTAGCACCTGAGAAGCTGAAGTTGAGAGGGTAAAGAGGATGTATATTTGCTGTCCTACAAGATGGTAAAACAGATATTCACTGCAGAACAAGGAAACCATCTCAGTACATTTGTCAAAACACCCAACCCTCCTTATATAAAAGGATACTAGATTTACAGTGTATGTGAAAACAGAACACCCATGTCTAATCCTCACTTGTCAGAAAGCATCTCCACTCTGATACAGTTCCCCTCTAAGGGGTCACTTGAAGGAATAATTTCCAAGCTGTATTAGCATTTTGAGTGGCATTTCATAGGGGCTTATAACCCTTGGCCCCTATAACACAAATGGGGACTCTCACAGGACAGGGAAAAGACAAAATAGAGCTAGCTTAGCTTTCACTTTAATTTTTTATTTGTCTCAAATATGCAATTGTACTCATATTTCTAATTGAAAAAAATTCTTATCAATATTTTATCTTTCTTTTGATACTCTGTTTCTCTGCCCTATGTATGGGAGCTTAGTAATAAAAGTAGTTGTCTCCATCAAAATAGCATATCATGAAACTCCATCCCATTATTTTCCTAAGTACATGTCATTAAAATAAAATCACTTTTAAAGAAAGATAAGGAAATAATAAAAATTCTATCAAATTTCTTTTGATGAGTACTTTTGTTTTTTTAAGGGCATGAAAATGAAAAATACCTTTTAATGAGTACAAAGTTAGCCATTGAAGTCCTATCGTAAGTCACCTCCTATACATAGCTCACATTAGATTGGAATGGTGATCAAATCAATTCCTATATGAATACATATTCCATTTTAGCTGCAGGAAAAATGACGTATCTCTGCAAATCATTTTCTGTGTGGTTTCTATTATAAGAAAAGAAGTCCTGAATTACAAAACTTACTGCTCCAAGCTCCTTGTATACTTCTTCAATGAATAAATCCAAAATAGCTTAGATGGCTTTTAAGGCATCCCATGATTGACCTCATTTTTCCCTATTTAAAGTTGATCTTTCATAACCGCACTATCCCCACACCTTCTACCTCTCTCTCCTGTTATGTTACTTACCTATAACGTTATCATTCTTAATCACAGATTTACCATGAGCCTGATGAACTTGATAGGCCAGGACTGCTTACTTGCATAGATCATTGAATGCTAGAAATTACTGGGAGTTCTCAATAGAGAATTCTGAGAGAAGACCTGGAAGTCAGGTTGCAATCAGGAAGCACTTCTGTGGCAGCATTTCTGAAAAATTGCCTAAAGATATCTCAGAAGGAAAAGTCCTGAATCTCCAAGATTCCAGGAATTTTGTGGGATTTCATTTCCCATTCAAAATATTTTCTTTTGTATCAAATTTTTATTCTCAAATGTGTATTCTTTAAAAAAAAGGGCATAAATTATATAAGTTTCAGGCCCACAGTACTTGTCCTATTCTTGATATGCCCTCCTTTTTATTTAAACTTGCTTCTTTGATAAAGCTATTTCTGGAATACCCTTTCACTCTCCCAATATGTGCCTCCTTTCTCATGTCTCTGTATATCAAAATACTATTCATTCTTCAATTTTTAGGTCATATGCTACAGCATCCTCAAGTATCAATTATTTGATCAATATAAATCCCATCTATATACTCTTATGTTTCTCCTTTGGGCCATAAATCCCACTGTGCCTGAAATCACACATCATTGGTTACATATTTTTAAGACTAATGTACATTCTAGTGCTGAGTGACTAAGAAAGTATTTAAGCTGAGGGATACTAAACCTGAAGCTTCCTAGCAGTGATGTAACCCATACTCTTTCTAACTTGTGTCTCCTATGACCAAAATGTTTTGCGTAATGACTGCACAAATAAAAACTTTATCTGATTGTAAATGTTACTCCCATTAGCTAGAAGAATATGATTCTACCATCCTCTGTCACTCCCAGCCAATAGGCTTCAAAAGGATGTGGTTAAAATCTTGTTGAGATTTTATTTCTATTTGAGAATATGGGATGAATGATTTATCTAAAAGTCCAATTGAAGTGACTAAGAATCAGACTAGAATTAGTTCAGTCTAATGAAAGAGAAATAATATGTACAACAATGATTGAGAAAGGGGCTAATGGGAAAGTAAACTTGATCTTCACCTTTCAAAATGATTAGAATCTGATAGAATATTGCCAGAGAAGGGTGCTTCTGAGAGTGAGAATTACACAGAACCAATGAAAACACTGGTGACTGGAGGACTGGAGCCAGGGGTTCAAGTTGGTGTATAGTATGAACTCATACCAAGTGGTCACATAGGCTATGTTTTGGAGAGTTCTGAAAGTAAGGCTGAGGAAAACAGTCACAAAACAGTTATTTACCTCAAGGAATTAGATGTGAAAAATTGCACCTGCAGGTAAAGAAACTGACCAGGAGATAATGGTAACCTAATTATGCTGTTAGAAATTATCATAAAAATTTAATTTTATAGATCATTACAATATGTTGGGCACTCTGCTCTGCTTTAAAAAAAAACATTTAATTCTCATAAAAATCCTATGGATAAAACCCTATAATATTGCTATTTTACAAATGAAAAAACAAGTGGCATGTTTAGAGAGCCAAAGTCACTTAACTAATAAGTAAGGCAAACAATTAAGATGAACTAAAAAATGTATTGGATAGGAGTTAAGAAACCTAGGTAATGAGCTCATCATTGTGAAAAATTAGTTGTGCAATCCTATGCAACTCACTTAACCTAAATGTACCTTGTTTGGCTTTCTTATAGGTTGAGGTTTGAATACTATATCAAACTATTACACTTTTTGGGGGGCCTATTTGCATCACATTTATTTGCTAAGGATACCCTGAATAAATTCCCATCTTTCAAGAGCACAGAGACTTAGGCAAAATATAGACAATCACAAAAGAGGGACCTAACCTACAGCCAAACTGATTTTAGTTAATTCCTAAAGGAATACTATTAGTTTTAAAGGTATTCTGTGATTACATTTTGATTAGTGCAGCCGCTACCCTTGCTTCTTGAATACCTGTGCAATAACCAGCAACCAGTGGGAGATGGAGAGTCAGGGCTAAGGGTGGAAAATTCATAAAGAGAATAACAGTTCTCTCTCTCTCTCTGCGTGTGTGTGTGTGTGTGTGTGTGTGTGTAGTTTATTAAGCATTGCTATTATGTTGGGAATTTGACACATCATATCTCATTTAATAATCAGAATTATAATGAATCTTCAAGGTAACTTTAACATCTTAACATCTCCATTTTACACAAAGAGAAGCAGAGGTTCAGGTTAATTATTTGCCTAGGGTCACTGTTTTAGACTGAATTATTTCTCCCCAAAATTTATATGCTAAAGCTTTAACTCCCAATGTGACTGTATTTGGAGATAGGACCTTTAAGGAGGTAATTAACATTAAGTGAGTTCATAAAGGCAGGCTCCTAATTTGATAGGACTGGTATCCTAATAGGAGAAAGAGACACCAGAGGTGTGCAAACACAGAAGAAAGGCCATGTGAGGACATAGTGAGTAGGTGGCCATCAGCAAGCCAAGAAGAGAGGCCTCATTATAAACTAACTTTTCTGGCAACCCTGCCAGAACCTTGATCTTGGACTTCTACTGTCCAGAACTGTGAGAAAATGAATTTCTGTTGTTTAAGCCACCCTGTCAATAGTATTTTGTTATGGCCACCCTAGCAGACTGTTGTAGTAGCACAAATAATTAACACTGGAAACATTGAAGTTAGATCAAACCCAGGCCCATTTTACATAAAGCCTACTCCAAGGTCATGCTGACAGAATCGTTCTTATCACTCTCATTCTTATCATGCTCTACATAGTGAAAACCCAGCCTCAGTTTATGAAATATTTAAAATATCTGTGATTCAAATAAGCAAGAGTCTCCTTTCCTGCAGCCCCAAAGATAGCAATAGAGTACAAATATAAATAATTTCAAATAAAATTAACAAGTTTTTACAATTAGTGTTTTATATTTGTAAATCTTATGGTTGAGTCTTAATATTATTTTTAATGATTAAAATGATAACAAAGGAGAGCACTTAATAGAAAATTAAGAATAGTTAAATATATGTACAGGGGAGACAATATATAATGGGTTTGATTTTCATTTACTTTTCCAAATAAAAATGTTCAGTATGCCATATATGGTAGAATAATAGACAGTTATTATAAATAGTGGAATTAGCTTGAGTTCTGTTTATTCAAAGAATTTATCTTAGAAATGAATTTTTGCCATTATTATACATTATAAACTTTTAGAAAGCTCCAACAGGGTCAGGTTTCTGCTCACAAAGCATATCCTATAAACAGAGGACACAAAGCAAATACAAAGCAAAAGTCAAATATAGTCTGGAACTGGGAATTAGAGAACAAAGACCATGATTGAAAAGTTATGACTGACAATTATTTTTTGGAGAGAATAATACATCAGTTAAGCAAGTTTTTGTTTTTATGATTCAACTAAATTGTTGAATTTATGAAAATTTTAGGCCAAACACTATTTTCACTTACTCAAATTTTTTAGTGTAAATTTTTCTTTAGATTTAGCCTAAAAGTGCATTTAGTTTGTTTGTCTTACTTCCAGAATTGAATATCTCAATCAGATGAGACTTACTTAAAGCTTTTGATATAGAAATATTTACAAAAATCACTGGGTAACAAGTTCTTGGTTAAACTTACGCTGAGCCAGGAAATCTGTATTCAATTTTGAGCTCAGCAGTGTAGGCTGACAGGCTTAAAACCTAGAAGAGCAGATGGTGCAGTTCCAGGCTAAAGACAGTCTGCTGAAGAATGTTCTTGCACTCAAGGGAGAATCGTTCTTTCTGTTCTATTCAGGTCTTTTGTCAATGGATTGGAAAAGGCCCACTCACGTGGTGTTCGGGGAGGGAATCTGCTTTATTCTACTGATTAAAATTTTAACCTCATCCAAGAACACCCTCCCAGAAATACCCAGAATAATATTTGACCGAGTATCTGGGCACCTAGAGGCCCAGTCAAGTTGTTGCATAAAATTAACAATCACAGGTCTTTTATAGCTACAGAGTTTATCTTATCTATGACTAACAGATGTTGGGTACAATTTCATAGGCTATGCAAAGCAGGTAGGATAAATAAATGCCCCAAAATACGCTTATTTGGGCTACATTTAAAGCAATTGGATGTTTAAGAACTTGAGTTTGGCACTGGATAAGTTTGAGAAAATTGGTCCTAGCCTGCTCTGAAGGAGAAAAAACATAGGGGTCAATGTACAGGAGCCGCGACTGGCCCATTTATATATCACCTTGAAACTACCCAGTGTCATGGTTTTAGCTTTCCAGATAATTTGCATTCTGACAATGGATGCTCCTTTTATCACAAATGCTACTCAAACACATATTGTTAATTGAGGTATTAGCTAAGCCATGGACCTTGCACGCTTTCTGCAATACGCAGACATTGGTATTGTTTAGTGTTAAAATAACATGCATTAAAAAATAGCTCAAAAAGATTACTTCCTAACCTCCTTCTAGTCTATACACCTTAGTAAGGGAGTTTGTCACTAAGTGTGGCTGTTTCCAGAAAGAGATCATCCCCCACTAACTGCTCCCTGTGCTTTGATCGGGATGATAGAGGTAGGGGAGCTATAGGGACCTATTTTAAAAATTAGAGATTCTGCCCTGATGTTTTCTGACATAATTTTTTTTTCTTCTTTTGATAGTAACCTTAGGCTAGCTTTTTAGTACACTCTTCACAAAGAGGTCTGGTGGGTTCCAGCCTAATTCTGGTTTAGCCACCTGGATTCTCTTGTTGGACTGGCATGGTCCTTGATTATAAGGAAAATCATATGGATAATGACCACTTAGCTGAATTCACTTTTTTTTTTTTTTTTTTTTTTTTTGAGACGGAGTCTCGCTCTGTCACCCAGGCTGGATTGCAATGGCACGATCTTCACTCACTGCAACCTCTGCCTCCCAGGCTCAAGCAATTCTTCTGCCTCAGCCTCCTGGGTAGCTGAGACTATAGACGTGTGACACCATGCCCAGCTAATTTTTTTTTTTGTATTTTTAGTAGAGACCGGGTTTCATCATGCTGGCCAGGCTGGTCTTGAACTCCTGACTTCGTGATCCACCCACCTCGGCCTCCCAAAGTGCTGGGATTACAGGCATGAGCCACTGTGGCCGGCCTGAATTCAGTGTTCTTTGCATTTTCTACACTGTTCCCTGCAGTGGCCCATACAGGCTGAAATTAAGAAAATAATGGATATCTATAAGTTTTATAAAATTTCTTTGTCCCTCTTGCACACAGCCCTTCCAGTCAAAACATGTAAGCAGGGGATAATTGAAAAAAAAAAAGTTAGTTTAAAGTTACTGAACTAGGACATACCCATGTTTACGGCAGTGGAGGGGCAATAATGGCCCTGTCTCTGTGAAGGAAGTGAAGAACATTAATAATATCTTTCAGAGTTGCTCCATGGAATGATTCTCACAAAGAAAATTCCTAGTGTGGCCTTCCTAAACTATTGCAAACATAGCACATTTAATTGATTATTGGGTCTGCCATTCCCTGCCAAACAGCTCTGACCAAAATTTGATTGCCATTCCTCTTAACTGTACTGAAAATATCTACCATAAACAAATAGCAGAGGGTAGCCCCCAGTTTCTGCACCTGCCATACAAACCACCTGGATATTTTCTCCATTTTTCATTCCACTAACAGTTGTTCAGTCATTCCACAGCACAGATGAACTCAACCTGGCTGGTGACATGAATACCCTCAGGTGGTTCCTCCAAAAGAAAGGCCTAAATACAATTACCTGAAATGGACTAGAAATCCTACAGCTTACCAGTGAGCCATATTAGAGGGGCCATCAAACTGACCCCTTTGACTGCTATAAGTCTCAGTTGTAACAAATTCTAAGTGGCAAATTCAACAAATTTGGCCAAGCTTTGTTAGAATAATCAGAGTAGCCTACAGTGTACTCATGGGAAGTTTCACCAGAAACCAAGAAAGTATAGAAGCAAGTGGTAGGTAATTGCTGGGACTATTTCTTTATGAGCCTCTTGCTTTTCTGCATGTTTTATGAGCAAGACACCTGATTACCTTTTGTTTGAGACTATTCTCTCATAGATGTTTGCATAACAAACAACTTGGGAAGATAGAGATAGTATTTACTTCCAAAGTAAAGGGCAGGTTAGCTTACAGTGCTAGAAGACAGATAGTGTCTCCTACTGGAGAAAACACAAGACATGCTTATTGCCCATTATAAAAGATGTGTGTTCTTTAAGGTGAGAGTTTCTTTCCTGTAATACAGTCCATTGCATATGCAGGTATCATCTGGCCTTCATTATGTCACCCTATGGAAATTTAGGTTTGAGAGATCACTGCAAGAGAAGCTAATACTCTATCTTCTGCTATTGCTGTGAATAATAAATTCCTTTGTCTGTGAACCAGAAGTCTCATGTTATCCACCATGAAACTATGGCAGGTTGACTTTTGAGCTTTTAGATATGGTAAAATCTCAGAACCTTAGTAGTTCTTGAAACTCCTCCTCCTGTTTCTGGTGAAGTTTTCTGCATTTTTATTTACCTTTGAATTTAAGCTAATAGTTTAGAAAAATTTTAACAAATATGTAATATGTTGGAGTTGTTGTTAAGAGAAATGCATACTCCTCATTTTACGCACATCTTTTCCTTATAATTAAATAATGTTAAGTCCCTAAATAAACTTGAATGTAACCTTGAATACTAAAAGCAAATGGCTATCTTTTATTAATTAAATAAAATTAGTAGCATTTGTTGTATCTTTATTTTCAATAATTTAAACAAGATACTTTAGTAGCAAGATTAAAGTAAGCTCTTTATCTTGAGAAGAATTTTGGTATACTTTGTTATTCAGTAGGCAGAACCTTGCTAAATTTTAATCTTGTAGAATGTGAATTCCATTTTGACAAACTCAGGTTTATAGTTAACTGATGTTGCTTTGGTAAGAGAAATATATGTACAGTAATTTTTCTTCCATTTCATTTGAAAATATGAGAAAACATGTATTAAATGCATTTATACAAATGTACAGGATATGTAAAATAACTGGGATTATTTTATGAGAAGTTTGCACTGTGAGTTACATCATGACATTAATCTGAACAGACCATTTTTGATTAATACACATGGAAAATACACTATAAATTTTAGAATGTTTGTGTTTTGACTGTGGAAAATTTACATATTTTATGTATCTTTAGATAACTTAGCTCTTAAATTTAGTGCTTCAATAATTTTGCCATTTTGTAAAAACAGATATCTTCCATGCATCTCACCAACTGACTGAAATTATTTATTCCTATATGATTACTTTAATTACAAACATAATCATGAAAAGCTTTTGAATGTTCAGATGCACAGTCTACTTCCTGGATACTTTGCTTTTACCGCACGTCCCTTTGTTTCTCAGTGTTTATTTGGCCTTTATTATAAGCAAAAATATGGA
The DNA here is from genome assembly GCF_000001405.40 of Homo sapiens. Classification (NCBI taxonomy): domain Eukaryota; kingdom Metazoa; phylum Chordata; class Mammalia; order Primates; family Hominidae; genus Homo; species Homo sapiens. Next base: position 95,843,045 of record NC_000006.12, read on the forward strand.
AATTTTTACTCCTGTGGAGACATAGGCTTTTCCTCGTTACCTCTTATTTAAACTTTTTATCACCTATTTGACAATTTTTTAAAGACAAATTATATCAACTATTAATTCTTAGAAAAATGCAACCACATTTTTAATCCCTAACCTACAACTGCATTGTCTGAATCCTTTTGTGAGATATGTTCTTTTTTTAGCCTTTAAGATCATCCAGTAGGCTTCATGGAAATAAAAGACTAAAAGGATTATTACTTGACCATCTTTAATCAGATGTTGCTTGAGAGTCCTAGAAAAAATATGCCATTATTTTAGGAGGTTGAAGAACTGAATAATTTTTAAAGTCATATGGGCAGTCAGAGAAGAAAATCTTTTAGATGTCTCTACCGAATAATATTAACCACTAGAAAAAAAGCGACCACACTGACAATTTTCTTTAAGGACTGAGAGGAGATTATTTCAATTACCATGTTGCCCTGTCCTTGTCAACTTTTTCTAGGATGGCAGAGCTAAGAAATACCCTTAAGATACATTAAAGGAGAGGTGGTTGAAAAAGAGAACTAAAATTGTCTGCAGGCTAAGAATGTCTAGTTTAAAAAATAAAACCTGAAAAATTCTCCAACTATTATTTTCCCCAGCTTTGTTCACTACTTAGTTTATACTCTGCATGGAACTGCTTTCTTCTTTCAAAGGATAATGTCCAATAAGTTGTAAAGAACAATTTGGACCATATTTATGTGCAAATATTTCATTGATATCATCACTTAATGATTCTAATATTTCCCATGTGTCAGCTTGTGCACTTTTTGTGTAGAATTCTGTGACCAGAAGATAAAAATCTACTAGCAGATATTTTCCTTGTAGGGACATGGGGGAGATACAAATAACGATACCTGAGTACAATCCTTGCTATGTTAAGTAGCATTCCACACAAATAGTTATTATAAATTTCATCCATTTTTCTCATTAAAAGGAAAGAAATCTCAGGTGTTAATAATGTGGCAAGACTCTGAGATCAACAAAAAAACAATTAAATGATTTCATAAAATCAATTGTATTAGCAATAAAAACAAAACAGCTATTAATTTCCTACTGACAAAGCAAGCTCTGTCAATGTACAATGTGAATCTGTTTTCACCTTGGCAGATGGTTCCCGGGCAGTAAACATGGTCAAATCACATTTATAAAGGAATTTGCCAAACAAAACAAAGCAAAATAAAAATATATCAAGAGCAGAATTGTATGCTTTCTTCTAATGGAGTCATGACTTTTGCCAATAAATATTAAGATAGGTTCTGGTTCGAACAGAACTTGAAATTCAGTGACTATTGAAAATCCAATCAAAATTTTTAAAATTAATCCACATAAATAAAAATCTTCTCAGTGGCTTATGACAGATATTTCACCTATGAGACTGAGAATATAAATTCCCATTCCCTACCACACTCAAGAATTTTAAAAAATCAGAGTGTTAATAATACACAAGCATAATCATGCCATTTCACCCCAGCCCCTAACAGTAGTAGAATCAGACATGAGCCAGTGTAAGTTTTAACAAGGAGAAAGTACTCTGAGTATACAGAATGGGATAAAATGTTTTTACAGTTGCCTGTGGATGGTTCTTGAGGCACTGCTAAAGTTTTCTTGCATGGGCATTCAGAACTCTCCCTTCCCTTGGTATCCTTCCTTTTCTTTCATATTTTCATCCTGCTCCTATGTGACCTCTCGCCTTTTTCCATGTTAGAAAGTCCTTTTGTGCCTAGAACTTCACATGCTTCCAAGTAGAGCACTCATAAGTCTCCTTTACCAGTAGTGACCACCCTCATCGCATTGCTTTTAAAAGCTTCTTCCCCTGGTTAATGGTGGGTTTGGGGATGAGGGCTGAAAGGGCTAGGAGAAAGGGAGAGATTATAGAACATGTGGCATTCCACTGGTGAAGATACAGTTGCATAAACAACTTCAATACGCACCATAAACTGAGCTGCCACTCCCATATAACTTTTCTCCATATATATTCTTCAGTAAAAAAAAAAAAAAAAAAAAAAAAAAAAAAAAAAAAGTTTAAGAAAATAGGAGTAGGACCTAACAGAAAAACAGGGAGCCAAGATTCCAAAGTTTGAGATCTTCTTCAGTGGTTTAGAACAGATCTTCATTTTATAGGAAGTTGAAAATGTCCCTTGCTAAAACACAATTAAAAAAATTAATTTCTAATGACATCTTTAAACACATAATAGTCACAGAGTTCAATATTTGAAAGATACAGAACAATATGAAGTGGAAATTCTCTCTCTCTCACTGAGTTTTCTTCCTAGGAGGAAATCAGTTTTATGAGTTTCCAAATAAAATATTTAAAGATAGAAGCAAAGGCATGATTTTTGAAGTTCTAGAATATGGGTCCACAACGATAATAGTGCATTCACTTCAAAATAAGTACAGATATGTTATCCGTACTTATTCTAGGAGCCTCCATTGAAGTACCCACAAAGGTCTATCAGAATATCACCAAATCTGTCTCATCACATTCACTCTCATGGTCCTGCTCTCTTTCTATGCTAATACTCCTTTATTTGCTCTCTTAGCAGAAGAGTTGCTTAATAAAAAAAAGTATGATATTCAAAACAAGGTTCAAACCTTAATTGTCACATAATGACAGATAAGTCTTTTCATCGTTGTTTCTCTATTTCTCCATCTGAGACATGGAAATAGTATATATCTGTTATTACTTCATAGGCAATAGCAGAGGTGAAATATATGAAAATCTATTGAATTACTTAGAAGAAATATGCTACATAAACCCCCACTACTGTAAAATCATGTTTAAAATAAGAAAAGAGCAAAAATCAAGATGGAAATCTTATCTAGCTCCCATAGGTCATAGATGTTATATTGTAGAAGGAATAAAAACTCTTCTCTAAAAGGTTATCAATGGCTTTGTGATAGACATAGGTGTCTACTCTCCGAGGCAGAAACTCCTGATGAATGCAAAATTTCCTAGAACTCATTTTTCCTCCACATTTCATTTAGTTTGTCATAAACTATATTTTCACTAAAATCAAGAGTTAAGTAAAACTAGATAGTATAAGAAGACAAGAAAAACTATGATGTGGGCAAAGGAGAAGATAAGCAAATAAGAATCTAATTAATGTTTTGTACCATTCCTGAAAGCTGATGAAGTTTCTTTTCACAATCAGTGCAGGGAGAATGAACAGTAACTTGAAACAGAAAACCAAAGACAATAAACAAGTTCATCAAATAAATTAACAAAAAATGAATGTTTGATAACTTGTCATCCCATTACTTTTCTACTTTGCAAGAGCTCCTCGTAACATCAGTGTACTTACGATAATATTTGTCAACCTAGAAATTACATTTTTGAAATAACCCAACATTAGAAACATCATTGGGTTCATCATCACACAGAGGAACATTATCATCCCCTCTAATTAAAAACAAATTTTATCCTAGTGATGTTAGACCTAAAAATCTGCTGTCTCATCACATGTATGAAAACAAGTGATGTCAATAGTCTCAGCACAATTTAAATGTGTAATTATGTTATTTGACTACATAGTCTCTGGAGTATTCTTAAGAAAATTTTCCCATGATTGTGTGTGTGCATGTGTATGCCCCATTCTTTTCCAAAAAACTGTCAACACCAAGACATATCAAAAATTTATCTCTATACTAAGCACTATCTTTGTAAAATGGCCTTAGTGAAGTCAGCGCTTCTGGAACTGTATTTTCTCTCTGCAGAAAGTATGCTAGACTTTTCATCTTCCTCTCTAGAGTACTTCAGAGAACTGGACTAACCAGTGAGGCAGTTAGGAAGACTAAGTAATTAATAAGGAATGGAGCCATCATTCCCTGAAACAGCTGTGTGGGATTGCTTCCAACCACACCAGCAAACAGGCTAATGCAGACGGAGCCACCTGCTCTTCCCAGTGGTGTTGCTTCCAATGCACTGGGCTACCCCTTAGCTTTCAGGTATGTTCATATTGACAGTAATTTGAAATAGGTCGAATAAAATACCCAAGAGAAGAAGTCCAGCAGGCTATCATAGAAAGCACTGCATATTTTAGGCACTTTCTGAATATTCTTTGATTATGATCCTGCCAAAGCCATTTGCTTCCTAGAGCAAGAAAACACAATACGGAACTTGGATGTCTCAACTCTGAAAGCAATCAAGTGTTCTGATAAGAGACAAAGGAGCTCACATTGTTGGAGCATGTTTTTTCTCTCATCATCTCAGTTCCCTTGTTGCCATGGTCACCTCTCAGCACAGCAGAGCTCCCCAGTAACAACACTTTGATGCTGCATTCCTTCTTCTTGTCCATTTCCTTGTTTCATCTTATTGTGTCTCCCACTTTCCCTAACCGGCACGACTTCTCTCCACTTTTGATACAGCCTGGCAAGAAGAAAGACATTGAAGACGTTAATGGTTTATGTTTTAAAACCCCAGACATGAAACTAAGACCTCTAACTTGTTATAGACATAATGGTTTTGTATTATGCAGCAACAGAGAACGCAAGTTCCTATCTACTGTCTGTCATATATAATAAGTCCAAATGCTCATTACAGGACTGGACCTTACCAACTGGTTTTTGAATTATATCTATAGTCTTGATTATAAGGAATTAAATTTTGTGGTAGTGTACAAGTGGAGGGTGTTATACTGGCTCATACAAGCAGTTGTTCCTGAATATATCACGCAGAAAGAATGAAAGAGATGGTTCAGAATAAACCAGGGTTCCAAATATACATAGTGCCTAGTGTCTTGAGATTTACATGTTCTTTGAGAGACAGACATCTGTGAATTTCTTAGAGGATTCAGAATTCCTGGAATTAAATGTATTATAAGGAGGCCATTTAGGGTGGCCACAAAGAGATGACCCTCAGAAGAAAGTATTAGAGATTATGTGTGGATTTTTCCTTAAATAGTTCTATTCCTTGCTACTCAGATGTTGCATTGTCTCTTAAAGTGCTATTTGTCAAACTAAGCAAATTTTGTTGTAGCTATTTTAAGAACATGCCTTCCTAGGCTAGCAAAATTATAGTTGTTAATTTTTTTTTTTTTTTTTTTTTAGTTTGTTAGGGTTTGATTTTCGCTGCTGGTCCTTTTTTTAAACGAACTGTCTATTTTGAATTACTGCCATTTGATTGTACTTTTGCCTGGGGGGTATTTTACCAAGAGCGCAGCAAACTGAAAAATAAATGAGATTTGCATACTTGTAAGGTCTTTGAAATCTACTGGGGAGAGATTATAAAGATTAAACGAGTCTATAAATAAGAGGCTATTCCTCCAATCACCTGATATAAAAATGTTTATAAAAATAAGACTTGTAAATATGTGGTCTTTATGTTTAAGGGAAAAGTGGGGATGCAGCTTATTTTTAAAGATAGAGCCATATTTCTCCGTTTATATTTAATAATCCATGACATTTTTAACTCAAAAGACTGAAAGGGAAAGGAATTCCTAAGCATTTTGATTTGCCATATTTATGTTCAGGAAATAATAAAAAACAGCTTCACACAAATCAAGTTACCCTTTCTTAAAGGAGATGACAAAGGTTCCTAAAATCATGATCTTTTAGACGTGGTAAATTGTGAAAAATCAGTACTTTATGAACTGGGGAAAAACACCATTTATAGTTGCTGAAAATCAATTTTATCTTTTATGTCTTTGGTGAAGAAATATTCCTCATGCTAGAGAACTGGGCATTCCAGTTCTATTTTCTCCTTTTACTTGTCATTTTTATTAATGCCAAGACAAGGCGGCCAAGCACTCTTAACGGCTGCTCAGTGGAGATACTAAAAGAGTTAAAGAAAAGCAGAGAAGCCGACAGCACAGCCTGCAGTCTGTGGCCGAAGGCCTGAGAGCCTCTGGCAAACCACTAGTGTAAGCTCAAGAGTACAAAAGCCAAAGAACCTGGAGTCTGATGTTTGAGAGCAGGAAGCATCCAGCACGGGAGAAAGATGAAGACCGGAAGACTCAGCAAGTCTGTATTTCCACTTTCCTCTGCCTGCCTCATTCTAGCCGCGCTGGCAGCTGGTTAGATGGTGCCCACCCAGATTGAGGTTGGGTCTGCCTCTTCTAGTCCACTGACTCAAATGTTAATCTCCTTTGGCAGCATTCTCACAGATACACTGATGAACAAAACTTTGCATCCTTCAATCCAGTCAAATTGACACTCAATATTAACCATCACATTAGGCAAATCATAATGCTAAATAAAATCAGAATATGGCAAAAAATTAATATCTTTAAAAACTTTCAGCTTTCTTCTGTAGTGTAATTTAGACACCGAAAGTATCACAGAATAACAGAAAAACCATCTACCTTATTCCCCCTTTGGAACCTAGCCTGGGAATATTTCATCATATTTTCAATGACAAAGTACATAAACATTTGCATATCTAAGTTAAATTGCAGTTGTTTGTATTCAACCATTGATGCTACTTATAATAGTCTTCTTTCCCATACTGTAAAAAGTGCTGGAAATAATAACATTGACCAATGCTCTTGGGGATGTACTTTAAATGCAGTGGTTCTCAGTGGTGATCATTTCTCCTCAGAACACACTTTGAAACGTTTCTAAGCTCATGTCTCCAAGGAGAAAAATCATCCCCAGTTGAGAGCCACTGCTTCAGAGGACGAATTAAATTGTCCCAAAACCTCAACTACTGAGATAACTGATATTAAAAGCAGAAAATTATAATAGGGCAATTACATGTTAGCAACATTTAAACAGAAGGCAAGCGACATGTTTTGATGGAGTAAGTGGTTATATACTTCAAAAAAAATCTTTTACTAAAGCCTGCCTTTGTTACTGATCTCCCCTAACAATTTTTCCCTTTCTGACTAAAACATGTCTTACATATTTTGTGAATGATAACAGTTCTTTGACCGCAGAGCAATGATAAGCTACTACTTTATTACAGCAAGGAGTTTCTAGTGACTAAAAGGCAATCCTGTTTAAATGGCCAAGTTGGATTATAGCCCTATTTTACATTACACATTATTAAACATATTATTAATAATTAGATACAAGATTTTATTTGAGAATCTGGATCAAAACTCTAGAAATATACTGGGGATATCCCTAAACTGACTAAGCAAGCCCTGAATCAAATGAGGAAAATAACCTGGTATGTCTTACTTTACTCTGCATTTACCTAAATTAAAATTTTAATATCTGACATACTGGAGATTTGAGATGATAATTATATTCAGTGATGGAAAAATAAGCAAAATTATAGTTTTACATATTGAATTTGCAGGTTGTGAAAATTATATCCTTTTACACAAAAATTAATAAATATAAAATAAACATAATAAAATTAATAAGTACAAAATTAATATTTTCTCTGTAAATTGTGATTATTTTACATAATTCTGAGGAATATGGCATTTTATTGAGTTGTATATTGATCTAAAAGAGGGGTCTGATGAAAATGTGATGAAGTTCATTATACAATGAAGAATCAAAATAATTATTAAAAGTGCACTGTATTATTTTAATATTTCTTTCAAATGTTTATTTTTGTATAACAAAAGTATATGTTTTGAAATTCTGGTGATTTTAAAAAATGAAGTCATGAAGTGTTTCCAGTTTGCACGCTGGAAAGAAAGGACAGAGTTACTGGGTGCTCCCAAAAAACCTGGTCAAACTGTTATAAAATAAAATAAGATAATATCATGAAACTGTTTGGAAGATAGCATCAATTCAACACATTTCTTTGAAACTGAATCTATACTAACATAGTCTACCTCATACTACTAACTATGCTTTATTTTGGTCAAAACTACATTCCAAGAAGTTCAATAGACAAAATTATGATTGATAGCATTAGAGTTGTATGAGAGCTTGGATGAAAACACTAATTGCAGTAGATTACTTACAGGGATCAATATGAAAATGTAAAGTGACATTAGTCCTCTAACTCAGGATTATATTAAAATGTGATTTAAGAAACAGTGGGTAATTTAATAATTTTTAAATAAATCACTATTCTTCAACATAAAACTACTGCAAGAATATTAAACAGAGGATAGCAACATTCCACGGGCTGCCAATGCATTTCCAATTCAAATAGAAGCAAATCAGAAAATCTTATTATATTAGCCCACATCTTTTCTTCCAGTTTTATTGAAGTATAATTGACAAATAAAATTGTATCATAGTAAGGTATATAATGTGATGTTTTGATATAAGTATACATTGTGAAATAATTACCAGGAGAAAATTAATTAACACATTTATTGCCTCACATAGGTACCTTATTTTTTGGAAGAGAATACATAAGAACTAATCTGTTATCAAATTTCAAATATACAACACAGTTTTATTAACTATAGTCATAGTGATAGTATAAATAGTCTACATAGTACATATAGTCATAGTATAGATTTAAAGTCTCTACATTGAATCTCCAAAACTAATAACTGAAACTTTGTTTACTTGATCACTAGCTCTTCATCTTAATCCCACCTCCTAACCCCGGGCAACTGCAATTTTACTCTCTGCTTCTGTGAATTTGACTTTTTGGATTTCAAGCATAAGTGAGATAATACAGTATTTGGCTTTTTGTACCTGCTTTGTTTCATTTATCATTATGTTTTTCAGTTTTATTCATGGTGTTGCCAATGGCAGAATTTTCTTCCTTTCTAAGGTTGAGTAATATTCCATTGTGTATCTATACCATATTTTTTATCCATTCATCTGTTGATGGACATTCAGGTTGTTTCCATATTTTGGCTATTGTAAATGAAGCTCCAATGAACATGAGCACAGATCTGTTTTTGAGATTCTGATTTAATTTCACTTGGATATATATTCAGAAGTAGAATTGCTAGATATGATAGTTCTATTTTTAATTTTTTAAAGAAACTCCACACTGTTTTCCATAATGGTTATGCCAATTTTCATTCCCACCAACAGTGTACAAATATTTACATTTCTCCACTTCTGAACCAACACTTATCTTTTGTCTTTTTGGTAATACCCACTCTAACGGGTGTGGTGTGATTTATCACTGTGGTTTTGATACATGTTTCTCTAATGATTAGTGCTAATGAGCACCTTTTTATACACTTGTTGGCTATTTGCATTTCTCCTTTGGAGAATTATCTATTCATGTCTTTGTCCAGTTATTTTATTTAATTTTATTTTACGTTCCAGGGTACATGTGCAGGATGTGCAGGTGTATTACATAGGTAAATGTGTGACATGGTGATTTGCTGTTCCTATCAACCCATCACCTAAGTATTAAGCCCAGCATGCTTTAACTATTTTTCCTGATTATTCCTGTCTTTGCTTAGTTTTTATGTTTTTGTGAATTTAATTTATTTTACACATTTTTCAAATCATTGTGGTAAGACAGGCAGAATTGAAATGAGTCTATGTGCATGTCTGTTTCATTCCATTTTATGTGAAAAGGGATGGCCCTGGACTGAGTCCAAATTGACAGAAGCTTTGCTAATTTTTTAATGAAATAATGTGTTTCTTAAACTATTAAGTTATGTAAGTTCTTTATATATTTTGGATATCAAATCCTTTATCAGAAATATAGTTTGCAAATATAGTTTGCTTTGTAATACATTTTGATATAAGGAAGTTGGTGCATCTAACTTTGATTTTCTTTCTCATGATTGTTTTGATACTCGGGATCTTTTTTGGTTCTATATAAATTTTAGGATTTTTTTTCACATTTTTGTGAATATTCGCCATTGGAATTTTGATAGGGATGGCATTGAATCTGTAGATTGCTTTTGCAAACCATATATCTGACATATAAGGACATTATAACAATAGTAATTCAATCAGTGAACATGGGGTATTTTTCCATTTATTGTGTCTTCTTCAATTTATTTCATCAATGTTTTACAGTTTTCAGTGTACAGGTCTTTCATTTCCTTGGTTAAATTTAATCTTAAATACTTTTGTAATGCTATTATAATTAGATTATTGTTTTCATAATCTGTTGTTAATGTATTAAAAACAACAAAAATTTGCATAATGATTTTGTATCTCGCAACTTTATTGAATTCATTTGTTAGTTTAAACAGTTCTCTGGTGAAATTTTTTTTTTTTTTTTGAGATGGAGTCTCGCTCTGTCGCCCAGGCTGGAGTGCAGTGGCGTGATCTCGACTCACTGCAAACTCCGCCTCCTGAGTTCATGCCATTCTCTTGCTTCAGCCTCCCAAGTAGCTGGGATTACAGGCACCCGCCACCATGCCCAGCTAATTTTTTTGTATTTTTCAGTAGAGATGGGGTTTTACCATGATAGCCAGGATGGTCTCGATCTCCTGACCTTGTGATCTGCCCGCCTCAGCCTCCCAAAGTGCTGGGATTACAGGTGTGAGCCACCGTGCCCGGCCTAGGTTCTTTTATAAACAAGATCATACTATTTGCAAACAGAGGCAATTTTACTACTTCCTTTCTGATTTGAACAACTTTTATCTTTTTCCTGCCTTTTAACTCTGAGTATGACTTGCAGCCCTATATTGAATAGAAGTGCTTACAGTGGGCATTCTTGTCTTGTTCCTGATCTGAGACAAAAGGCTTTTAACCATTGGGTAAGATGATAGCTGTGGGTTTGTTGTACACGGTTGTTAGTGTGTTGATGTATATTTTTCTGTACCTAATTTGATGAGTTTTTACAATTAAAAATGTTGAAATTTGGAAAATGCTTGTTCTGAATTAATTAAGATAATTATAAGATTTAAATCTTCATTCTGTTAAAGTGGTATATAACACGTATTTATTTTCATGTGTTGAACCATCCTTGCAGCCCAGGAATAAATTCCACTTGATCATGGTAATGCTTCTTTTACTGGGCTGTTGATTTTAGTTCGCTAGAATTTTGTTGTTAATTTTTGCATCTGTGTTTATCGGAAATACTGGCCAGTAGTTTCCTTTTCTTGTAGAAAAAGAAATCTGGCTTTGATATTAAAGTAATACTAGCCTCATAAAATAAGTTTGGAAGTATTTGCTCTTATTCAAGTTTTGGGAAATGCTTGAGGAGGTTTGGTGTTAATTCTTCTTTAAATGTTTGATAGAATTCACTTGGGAAGCCATTTGGTCCTAGGCTTTTCTTTGTTGGGAAGTTTTTGATTACTGCATCAATCTCTTTACTCATATTGATTGGTTCAGATTTTCTATTTCTTTGTGGTTTAGTCTTGGAAGACTGTAAGTTTCTAGGGATTTTTCTGTTTCACTAGATTATCCAATGTAATAGTACATAATCTGTTCACAATAATATCTCATGATCCTCTCTATCTCTCTGGTATCAGTTGAAAGCCTTATCTTTCATTTAGAATCTTGTTTACTTGAGCTTTTTAAAAGTATTTCCTTAGATTTAGTCTAAGTAAAATTTTGATAATATTTGCAAAAAAATCCTCAGTTTTGCTGAACTTTTCTATTGTTTATCTGGTCTCTATTTCATTTATTACTGCTTGAATATTTATTATTTACTTATTTTTGCTCACTCGGGCTTAGTTCGTAAATTTTTTTCTTATTCTTTGAGTTGTAAAGTTAGGCTTACTTAAGACTTTTCTTTTTTCTTAACATAGGCATTTATTGGTATAAACTTTCTTAGAACTGCTTTTGCTGTGTCTCATAAGTTCTACTGTTGTATTATCACTTTTATTTGTCTCAAGGTATTTTTATTTCTGTTTTAATTTCTTTTTATCAATTGGTTGTTCTGAAGTGTACTATTTTATTTCCACAAATTTGTGAATTTTCTAATTTTTATCCTGTTATTGATTTTTAGTTTCATACCATTGTGGTTAGAAAAGATAACTGGTGTAATTTCAATCTTTTGTAGCCCAACATATCCTTGGATAATGTTCTAAGTCGCTTGAATGTATATTCTGCTACTGTTGGATAGAATGTTTTATATATATCTGTTAAGTCCATCTTGTCTATGTTATTCAAATCTGCTGTTTCCTTATTAGTTTTATGTTTGAATGATCTATCTGTTGCTGAAAGTGGGGTATTGAAGTCCCTTACTATTATTGCATTGCTGTCTATCTCTCCCTTCAATTCTGTTAATATTTGCTTTAAATATTTTGGTTCTCCAAGGCCAGGTGCGGTGGCTCACGCTTGTAATCCCAGTACTTTGGGAGGCCGAAGCGGGCGGATCACGAGGTCAGGAGATCGAGAACATCCTGGCTAACATGGTGAAACCCCGTCTCTACTAAAAATACAAAAAATTAGCCGGGCGTGCTGGCGGACGGCTGTAGTCCCAGCTACCGGGGAGGCTGAGGCAGGAGAACGGCATGAACCCGGGAGGCAGAGCTGGCAGTGAGCCGAGATCACGCCACTGCACTCCAGCCTGGGTGACAGAGCAAGACTCCATCTCAAAAAAAAAAAAAAAAAAAAAAAATATATATATATATATATATATATATTTTGGTTCTCCAGTATCGGGTGTATGTAATATGAAACAATGTTATAGCTTCCTGATGACCCACTTAACATTGTATGATGAATTTATTTGTCTCCTTTTACAGATTTAAACTTAAAGACTAATTTTTTTCTGGTATAACTATGTTCACCCTGCTCTCTTTTGGTTATTATTTGCATGAAATATCTTTTTCTATCCTTTCACATTCAGTCTATTAACCCTAAAATAAATTTTTGTTTTTTTTAAATTTTTATTTTTTTAGGCAGCATATTGCTGGATCTTGTTTTTAAAAAATCCATTCAGCCACTGTATTTATTTTGTTTAGAGAATTTAATTTATTTACATTTAAAGTACGTATGGTCCTGAACTCTCAATGGTAGATCTATAATTTATTTATTTTATGATGGTGCCAAAGCTATAAGCATTACCTTGTATGTGATGAGTTGCTTTTCTCTTGCTTTCAAAAGTTTCTTCTTTGTCTTTAACTTTTGAAAATTTGATTATAATATGTCTTGATATAATTCAGGGGAGAGATTACATGTTTGGAAACCTTAGAGCTTTGTTAACCTAGATATTCATATCCTTCCAAGATTTGGGAAGTTTTCAGACACAATTTCTTTTCATGAGCTTTCTTCTCATTTCTCTCCCTTTTCTCCTCCTGGAACTGTTATAATCTGTATTTTGGTTCACTTGCTGGTGCACCATAAATCCCATACTTTAACTTGTCATTCTTTTTTTCCTTTCTCCTCCTCTGACTGTATGATTTCAATGACCTGTCTTTGAGTTCACAGATTCTTTTATTTTTTATTTTTATTTTTGTAGGCAACATATTGCTGGATCTTGTTTTTTAAAAAATCCATGTAGACACTGTATTTATTTTTTTGAATTTATTTACATTTAAAGTACACTTCTTTTATTCTTTTATTGAGTCTGCTGTTGAAACTTTCTATTGCATCTTTGTAGTTCATTTATTGTATTAATCAGCTCCAGATTTTCTGTTTGTTCTTTTTATGATTTTTAGCTCTGTTAAACTTATTGTTTTGTTCATGTATTGTTTTCCTGAAAACATTGAGTTGTTTATTTATATTCTCTTGTAGCTTGCTGAGCTTCCTTAAAACAATTATTTTAAATTATTTTTCAGGACATTTGTAGATTTCTGTTTCTTTGGGATTGGTTACTGAAAAATTATGTTTTCTTTGATGGTGTCCTGTTTACTTAATTTTTTTGTGTTCCTTGAATTCTGACACTTCTATCTTTGCATTTGAAGAAGTAGTCACCTCCTCCAGTCTTTATTGACTGGCTTCAGGAGACAAATTACTTCACCCATCAGCCCCACTAAGGTTTCTGGGGCCTTTCAGGCCTTTTCACACTAATCCTCTTGTTTCCCTCCTGGGGAGAACTCAGGACTCTATGTCTTCTCTTGATCCTGAAAAGCCAAATCGGGTGTGGAGAGCTTTCTATTTATTTTCCCCAGGGTTATTCCGTAAAGTGTTCAACGTTATGCATCTTCTCCGATCCAGCAGAACTAGGGGGGCAGGGGAGGAATATGAGAAATGCGGAAGTGCAATGAGCTGTCTGGGTATGTTGTCAGAGAGATTTGCCCTGTGAACTTTGTGGGCAGGCTTTCTGGTGGAGTCCACAGTTGGTTAGTAGAAACTGCAGCCCTTTGCTGAAATCTCTGTCTGTGTTGCTATGAGCCCTCTCCCCTTTCCTCTGCTCTTATCTGTCCACAGACTATTCTTCGCTTTGATCCCCTCAGTGATCTGGATGAGGAGAGAAAGAAGTAGGCCTCCTGGGCAGTGTTCTGGTCACTATGCTCTCACTGTCTTCTGTGAGAGGAATCATGGGCCAAAGGGGTCTCTCTTAGCACTGAGCTGTGCAACCTCGAGGGAGGGGTGATTCAGGTAAAGTCAAACTCTACATCTTAGCCTACTTAAGGTGCCATATTCTGGGATTTTCTCCTCCACCTCTGTGCTGAGACCTCTCTGCTACACTCCCGAGTTCCCACAGAGGTACTCTCATCCATGGGTGGTTGTTGAAATCAATTTGTGTGTGTTGGTGGGAAGAAGGGGTGATGAGGGCTGAAAACTCCTATTCTAACAGCTTGCTAACATCACTTATAGCCCTTATCTTACTAATTCTATTTCAACAAAATTTCTTTTAAACAGAAGATGTTTTACTAGTACTTTAAAATAATTTAGAAATTCTTGGATTATAAAACCAATGACATTAGGGAACCAGAATACTAAAGTGTTACATTTTCCTTGATCCAATCTCTCACCCAGAACTTGGAAAAATATCTCCAATGGACTGTATATAAGCTTGGCACCAAATTTCCAATTTGAAAACAGAGAAATGATAATGTATTAGAATGAGGCTGTATTAAAGCCAAATAATTTGAGTCACTAAATTTGCTGAACATTTGCCATGTGCAAGATGTTGCTCCAGGCTGAGGAGGACATTATTTGAAGATGAAAGTTTAGTAAGACCTGATATGTAGGAATTTATCATATTGTTGAGAACAAACAAAAATAGATCACAAAATATGCAGAATTATATTCAAACATATGCATAATCAACATAATGTAAGGGAAACTAGATAATCAAAAAAAGGATTAGTGAACCACAGGTAAAGCAACTAATGCATTATAGATTGTGAAAAAGCAAGAGAGAAAAAGTCAAAGTTTATTTTTCTTTTCAAATTAAGATAGGAAATATAGGTCAAATAAATTGATAAATATTAATATATTCTCAAACTGCCAGATTAAACTAATACCTAACTGCCTTCTAATAAGTATTTCTCTAAATAATATTTGGATGACGTTCGTATTTCAAATTCCTTAAGCAACCACTTCAACAAATACTATGGCATAGTCTTTGCCTGGCATGTTAGATTCAGGTAATTGTGCCATTTCCAAAATAATTAAAAGCTCTATTACATACAGAGGAATTTATAGCCTTTTATTCCTCTAATCATTCAGGAAGTATGAAATAAGTATATTCTATAGGCAAGGTACAGCCATAGGAAATGATCATTTCAATGGTAAAAACAAAACAAAACAAAACAGAAAAGAATTGCCACCAGACTTAAATAAAATTACAGTTCTCGCCTTTCCATACATCGATGTTCTCTTTTCTTTCTTTCTATACCCTCCACTTTCCTCCTGTCTCTAACTCATCTTTTCATTGACTCAAGGTAGATTTAGGGACTTTTCTGGCTAACTAGAATTATGGCATGAGAGGAAATTACCTTTTGCAATATAAAGAAAAGCAGAAGTGAAAATTTTTTATTAAAATACGTTTATTCCACCAAATGTCACCCAAAAAGTAACATACTACTAGAATCTCTGCCAAGTGTAACAAATAGTAGAGAAAAACAGATATGGGCCTGCTTTTATTGAGCTTAAAATCTAGCAAGAACAACATATATTAAATAACTAGTAGTAGACAGAATTATTTTAGGAAAATTATGATAGATGTTATGGAAACATCATAGGCTTTACTTAAGGAATAAGACAAATTGTCTGAAATACAAGAAGCAATGATAAAATTAAAAAGCAAATGTTTAGTAATGGAAGAAAACACTTTTTGTTATTAATATAATACTAATATAATCATAAAGATAATTTATAAGAATAACAAATGATAAGACTAAAATATGGTTCAATTATAGCATGTAAGTTGAGAAAGGGACAATGATACCTTAAAGTGTGCTGAGCTCTATTGTCCATGTGTGTATTTAGAATATATTGCCTAACTTTAGATGCTTAGAAGCATAAA
This sequence comes from Homo sapiens, assembly GCF_000001405.40. Classification (NCBI taxonomy): domain Eukaryota; kingdom Metazoa; phylum Chordata; class Mammalia; order Primates; family Hominidae; genus Homo; species Homo sapiens. Next base: position 95,859,225 of record NC_000006.12, read on the forward strand.
GTTAACCACTGAAAGAACAGAAAAATATATAAATTCCAAGCAAAAAGAGAATAAAATATAAACAAAAACAGAACAAGAACTGATAAGTAAATAATAAAGTGGGAACAACAAATACAATTTTTTTCCTAGAATTAGATTGTAAAGGTGAACAGAAAATAAAGTAGTAAAATATTCCACGACAGGATTTGTAGATGGGACTATGGATTCAAGAATTATTTTTTAAGAAAAATTTTAGCAGGAGATGCTAAAAATTGTTTATATGCTAGTAGTTCAGCAGCTGTGAGGGCAAAAATAATGATGCTGGGTAGAGTGTATGAATGAGCTTGAATTTCTTGAAAAGGTGAGAGGGAACTGGCTGTACAGCTCAGGTAGAGGGAACAGTCTCTGCTAATCATGTCCTACATCGTAACAGGAAGGAAGGAGGAAACGGTGGGTGTGAGTGTAGTAGATTTGTAGTTGGTAGTGGAAATATAAGAGATTTATATCTAATAGTTTCATCTTTCTCACCGAATTTTTAGACAAAATCACCAGCTGAAAGGAAGGATAAACAGGTGGCTGGTGGTTCTGGGTTGCATGTTTGTTTGGCACCTAGCTGAGTATAAGGAAAATTAAAGGGGAAAAAAAAAAAGAAAACCTAGAAAACTCACTGTATTTTGTTTCTCAAGTTCCAAGGCCTCAAATCAACCTCTTTTCTTCTTTTTAAATTTCAGGGTCCCTTCATCATTATTTATTTCCAGGTTCTTTTAGCATATTTTGAGGAGAGGAGCAGAAAATGTGAGTCTTCACCATCTTTTCCCAGAAGCGAAAGCTGTGTGATGTCTTGTATTATTTTAAACAGCATAATTTAGGGCAATGAAAGCTAAACTTTTATACCTTTGCAGATTAAGGGAAACTGCTATGTGAAAACCATAATCAATTAATCAGAGGGGGGTACTTACACTTTATAAATTCTAGAGCAAAAATTAGAATTAAGCTTTTGGACTGACATCCTTTTTGTAGTTTATAAGAATTGACTATGCTACAAAACAAACACTTGTGAATCTATTAAATTCTCAAGCTCTTGAGACACACAGCACACAAAAATGTGGGTGCACAAGCACAGAAAATCTAGTTTCTCCATGCAATAGGGAGTCTGTAGAATCTGTCAGGTGAGTAGTGTGGAATCAATGGGAAAAATAATAAAAAGAAAGAGAAAGTAACTAAAGTAGAAGAATGTGGAGGAAAAAGGGAGAAAGTCTAAATCTGCTGCTGCAATTTTGTCTTTTTTATTTTTTCTGGTTATTTCTCCCAAAAAAATGCCTAAATCCAATAATGGCTTTCTCCATTCTACAGGTTGAAAAACTTACTAGCTTTTCTGTTTTATGAATTAGAATGCTTCCTAAATGCATCTCTATTTCATCACCAAACAAAAGGTGTGAATGCATTTATAATAGCTTAAATAATGCTGTGTCTACATGCCTACTAGGATAATAGTTGAAAAGTAATTAAATTTAGGATAAAATGTCCTAGTGGTAGCTTGAATAAAAACTTTCTGATTGGTTAAGGAAATTACAGATATATAACATCCTACATCAAGCTACATTAAGCAAGTATTTTAATTGCCTGATACCTCTGTTCCCCTCATGGCACAGTTTCTTCCCCTCAATTAATATTATTTCTTTCTTTTTCTATTTCACACCCCCTTTTACTTCTACCTTCTATTTTCTGACAATGCAGTCTTATGAACTTATCTGAGAGAAATGTCACTAACAGATTGTAAAAGTATATTTTTTCTCACCTTTCAGACTCCTTAACACTGTTTGCTATAATTTTCACATGGATCACCTGAAGACCGTTTATTTTTTAATTCTCCTTTTGAATATAGTCTATTTATTGGAAGCACATCATCATAAATTTTTCTCCAAGTGACAAAACCATAAGAAATTTCCTGCAGCTGAGTACATTAAGAAACACTTGCCAAGCTCTCAAAACTGTTGGATAGACTAGATGAATCATACACAAATAGTTCACACAAAGAATTTGTATTACCATAAAAATCCACATTACATTTTATTATTTTTCTTTAGTTTATGAAAGGCTGGTTTATAAATGAGCCAATAATTTAAATGCAATTACATTTTTGTATGAAATTTTAGCTGATTCACATTTTTCTTTAATATCAGATAATTTGCCTTCAGATCTTCACTTGCCATCTTGGCTCCTGAAGATTTTCTTTTCTTCATGTCTTCCAGTTTTTAGTAATAATTGAAAAGCATTACATTTTTAAAAAATCGCTTATGCAAAGTGCTTCTAAAAGGCTTTCCAATTACACCCACATATAGAAAGACACCCACTCACTAGTCTGTTTAGTTTCTATTATTCCCTTTGAAAAGTTTAGGTAGACACCTAAGCTTAAGGAATTCAGTTTAATTTATTTCTGAATCTAGTAACATTTTGAGAGAAAAAATATTTCATGATGTCTCCCAGAATGGCATGTCTTCATTAGCAGTATTTTTCAAAAATTTCATGGATAATTAATGTCAAATTATTTCTCAAGTTTTCAAAAGAATCTTCTGAATAAATACTACAGCAATGCTGATAAAATGGAGTCAGATAGAAGTTCCAACTGGTATTTAAAATCAATAAAGCAAATATTATCTATTTGAAACATAAAATTATAAGATTTACCTAAAGGCAGACATCAAATGATGTAAGTTTATTCTGTAAGATATAAATGATTCTCATTTTTCAAAATATGATATTTATATCAAATGTATTCTGTTGGCAACCACACACACAATTATCTCATAGTTCCTTTTTACATATGCTACTAATCAATTCCTCTCTCATTTGCATTATGTGTGGGTTTCTACAAATATATGTATGGGACTTTGAAATTTTAAATTTATTTTACTGAACTAAGCTTTCAGCCTGAAGGAAATTTGCAGGGGATAAAAATGTTGATGCTTCAAATAGTTGATAATGCCTTTGCTTCAGGACATCAGACAGTTTATTTAATATGCCATTTACTTTTTGAAATTATTTAAAATAATGGCAAATAAACAAGATTCCACATTTCTTTTTCTATTTTTTGATTTTATTATTATTATACTTTAAGTTTTAGGGTACATGGGCATAATGTGCAGGTTAGTTACATATGTATACATGTGCCATGCTGGTGTGCTGCACCCATTAACTTGTCATTTAGCATTAGGTATATCTCCTAATGCTATCCCTCCCCCCTTCCCCCACCCCACAACAGTCCCCAGAGTGTGATGTTCCCCTTCCTGTGTCCATGTGTTCTCATTGTTCGATTCCCACCTATGAGTGAGAACATGCGGTGTTTGGTTTTTTGTCCTTGTGATAGTTTACTGAGAATGATGATTTCCAATTTCATCCATGTCCCTACAAATGACATGAACTCATCCTTTTTTATGGCTGCATAGTATTCCATGGTGTATATGTGCCACATTTTCTTAATCTAGTCTATCATTGTTGGACATTTGGGTTGGTTCCAAGTCTTTGCTATTGTGAATAATACCACAATAAACATACGTGTGCATGTGTCTTTATAGCAGCATGATTTATAGTCCTTTGGGTATATACCCAGTAATGGGATGGCTGGGTCAAATGGTATTTCTAGTTCTAGATCCCTGAGGAATCGCCACACCGACTTCCACAATGGTCGAACTAGTTTACAGTCCCACCAACAGTGTAAAAGTGTTCCTATTTCTCCACATCCTCTCCAGCACCTGTTGTTTCCTGACTTTTTAATGATCCCCATTCTAACTGGTGTGAGATGGTATCTCATTGTTGTTTTGATTTGCATTTCTCTGATGGCCAGTGATGGTGAGCATTTTTTCATGTGTTTTTTGGCTGCATAAATGTCTTCTTTTGAGAAGTGTCTGTTCATGTCCTTTGCCCACTTTTTGATGGGGTTGTTTGTTTTTTCTTGTAAATTTGTTTGAGTTCATTGTAGATTCTGGATATTAGCCCTTTGTCAGATGAGTAGATTGCAAAAATTTTCTCCCATTTTGTAGATTGCCTGTTCACTCTGATGGTAGTTTCTTTTGCTGTGCAGAAGCTCTTTAGTTTAATTAGATCCCATTTGTCAATTTTGGCTTTTGTTGCCATTGCTTTTGGTGTTTTAGACATGAAGTCCTTGCCCATGCCTATGTCCTGAATGGTACTGCCGAGGTTTTCTTCTAGGGTTTTTATGGTTTTAGGTCTAACATGTAAGTCTTTAATCCATCTTGAATTAATTTTTGTATAAGGTGTAAGGAAGGGATCCAGTTTCAGCTTTCTACATATGGCTAGCCAGTTTTCCCAGCACCATTTATTAAATAGGGAATCCTTTCCCCATTGCTTGTTTTTGTCAGGTTTGTCAAAGATCAAATAGATGTAGATATGCGGCATTATTTCTGAGGGCTCTGTTCTATTCCCTTGATCTATATCTCTGCTTTGGTACCAGTACCACGCTGTTTTGGTTACTGTAGCCTTGTAGTATAGTTTGAAGTCAGGTAGCATGATGCCTCCAGCTTTGTTCTTTTGGCTTAGGATTGACTTGGCGATGCGGGCTCTTTTTTGGTTCCATATGAACTTGAAAGTAGTTTTTTCCAATTCTGTGAAGAAAGTCATTGGTAGCTTGATGGGGATGGCATTGAATCTATAAATTACCTTGGTCAGTATGGCCATTTTACCCTAACATCACAATTAAAAGGACTAGAAAAGCAAGAGCAAACACATTCAAAAGCTAGCAGAAGGCAAGAAATGACTAAAATCAGTGCAGAACTGAAGGAAATAGAGATACAAAAAACCCTCCAAAAAATTAATGAATCCAGGAGCTGGTTTTTTGAAAGGATCAACAAAATTGATAGACCGCTATCAAGACTAATAAAGAAAAAAAGAGAGAAGAATCAAATAGACGCAATAAAAAATGATAAAGGGGATATGACCACTGATCCCACAGAAATACAAACTACCATCAGAGAATACTACAAACAACTCTATGCAAATAAACTAGAAAATCTAGAAGAAATGGATAAATTCCTCGACATATACAGTCTCCCAAGACTAAACCAGGAAAAAGTTGAATCTCTGAATAGACCAATAACAGGATCTGAAATTGTGGCAATAATCAATAGCTTACCAACTAAAAACAGTTGAGGACCAGATGGATTCACAGCAGAATTCTACCAGAGGTACAAGGAGGAACTGGTACCATTCCTTCTGAAACTATTCCAATCAATAGAAAAAGAGGGAATCCTCCCTAACTCATTTTATGAGGCCAGCATCATCCTGATACCAAAGCCAGGCAGAGACACAACTAAAAAAAGAGAATTTTAGACCAACATCCTTGATGAACATTGATGCAAAAATCCTCAATAAAATACTGGCAAACTGAATCCAGAAGCACATCAAAAAGCTTATCCACCATGAGCAAGTGGGCTTCATCCCTGGGATGCAAGGCTGGTTCAATATATGCAAATCAATAAATGTAATCCAGCATATAAACAGAACCAAAGACAAAAACCACATGATTATCTCAATAGATGCAGAAAAGGCCTTTGACAAAATTCAACACCCCTTCATGCTAAAAACTCTCAATAAATTAGGTTTTGATGGGACATATCTCAAAATAATAAGAACTATTTATGACAAACCCACAGCCAATATCATACTGAATGGGCAAAAACTGGAAGCATTCCCTTTGAAAACTGGCACAAGACAGGGATGCCCTCTCTCACCACTCCTATTCACCATAGTGTTGGAAGTTCTGGCCAGGGCAATTAGGCAGGAGAAGGAAACAAAGGGTATTCAATCAGGAAAAGAGGAAGTCAAATTGTCCCTGTTCGCAGATGACATGACTGTATATCTAGAAAATCCCATTGTCTCAGCCCAAAATCTCCTTAAGCTGATAAGCAACTTCAGCAAAGTCTCAGGATACAAAATCAATGTACAAAAATCACAAGCATTCTTATACACCAACAACAGACAAACAGAGAGCCAAATCATGAGTGAACTCCCATTCACAATTGCTTCAAAGAGAATAAAATACCTAGGAATCCAACTTACAAGGGATGCGAAGGACCTCTTCAAGGAGAACTACAAACCACTGCTCAATGAAATAAAAGAGGATACAAACAAATGGAAGAACATTCCATGCTCATGGGTAGGAAGATTCCACATTTCTACAAAAAAGGACCATTAGCTCTTGAATGAGGTAAGAAACACAATAAAAATAATTTAAGGAATGCATATATGTTCATTTTTATTTCTCCTGAAACACTCATCTCAAACTGAAGAGTTCAGGTTGGTTTTCTCCAATTGGTTTGTTTTCTCACAATGCATTTGCCTATCTCTCTTTACTTCTCACCTACTTAAATGCTTGTTATTTTTAAAAATCCTAAGTTAATTTCCCCTATCTTCATTTGTTAGGTATGTCAAGGTTTTCCCACCACCTTACAAACTCCAACACAAATTATATTCATTGAGCTTTTCTCAGCTCTATATAGTCAATTAATTTTTATAAATCTATTTTATCTCTCCAACTAAATCATAAGTTTTTACAAATTTAGGACCTTGTGTGTTCTTCTGTTCACTATATTGAAAATATATTCAATGATTCATTGATTGATTGATCGGATTGCCTAAGAGAATAGGCATCTTTATTTAGTGCTATACAATTTTATTTATTTACAAGTGATAAAGTGCCTATAATATAAATATTAAAGTAATAGGCAATATAATTTGCTATTAAATAGCTTTTAATAAGATACAATTCATGGTCTTGATTCTAAAAACACACTTTCCTGAAAAAGAGGTGATTGTGCAATACTTTTTAATATGACATAGAATGATTCATTTAACAGGTAATATGTTGGCCTTGAGGCTTGGTGCACAAGGATGGACTCAGAATAGGGACCTAGGAGAAATAAATTCTAATCTCTGCCCCCTTCAGATACCATGATTTGGGAATTTGGAAAATTTGTTAAGAGTCTTTAACCTTTTATGGGCTTTATTTCCTTATCTATAATATGAAAATAGATTAGAAAAATCTCTAAATTTACTTTTAGTATAAAATTACATGTTACCTGTATACACTGGTGAAATAAAATTGTTTGAGCTCCTTTTCATATAAAGCCTCTATGTTGAAACTTTCATGTGAAACCTTGAAATTGCTTTAAGAAAAACTCACTATACTTTATTACATTCCCCCATTTAGCCAAACACTTAACATGTATGAATTAGTAAAGTCATGATTCATAATTTTCTTTATATTAACAAAAAAGTAGATTTAAAAAATAGTATGTTAAAGGTAAAACTGCCACACGAAGTTGGAAGATGACTAATTTATTTGTGATATTTCACTTTTTAATTGGAGATACTATATATGAGTATCCCCACAAGGTGCGTGACCCAATACCTATCACTTTCTTCCTTTTTTTCTACTGTCTTATTCATAAACATGCCTTAAACACTGAAAATTAAGGGTACAAATGCAGACATACATACGTAATAGGCAAGTGATAAAAGCATTTAACATTTTAAACATAAATTATCAAAATTTATAATTAGAAAATCCACATGAAAGCTAACTGTATGTATTATAGATGAAAATAGATTTACCTCATGAGTTTTAACCATCCTTTCTTGCCTTTATTTATGAGGTGTCTCTTAGCCTAATAAAAATGTCAGTATATGCATGTGGTGCTGACATCTGCTGGCAGAGATGGTCGGCAACAATATGTGACCCCGACAAGTAGACCTACAGAGGCAGGTGTGGAGCGCCTAACGTAAAAAAGTGTTTAAGACATATTTATATTTTCATGAATTCTAATATGGTGTAGAGAAGTGTCATGTCAAGTAAATTTCGTTTCCGAATATTGACTCTAAGAATGCAATGCCCGTGGGCAAGTCATTTGACCACACTGGGTCTGGATGCATTCTGTTTGTTCCAGCTCTAATACTTGATTTGACTTTCACAGGTTGTTACCTTTATATAATCTTCATTGTGGTGTCCTATTTAAGGAAAGGAAGTCAGACTGGTGGGAGCAGGGGAAAGCAGAAAGAAGAAGCAGATTAGCTACAAGTCTGCCTTACTTCACGGTCCCGGACACATAGCCCTCCTGCGCAAATAATTCACAATCTTTCTGCGCCCAGTTATCACCAGACCCTTGGCTGATACAAAAAAAAAATTCAGGTTAGCTCACTACAACCTTGGAGTTATCAGTATTGCACAAAGCCCTCCACAGCATGCGGCATAAATAGTATCCTGTAAAATCTCCAGCAAGCCTTTGTTTCCTCATAGTCAGCTCCTCTTCTGCTGATCCTGCCTGTTGCTCCCTTGTAACATACTTTCATACTTTCATACTTTCTCTAATAAACCTCTCTTTATCTACAACTGTCTTGGTAAGTTGTTTTACCCTCATGCCATGGGCTCAAATAGACATAGCTCCCCTGTGACATTCATCATGATTTTATAATAATTCAGAAACATACTGTAGAATTAATTTTTAAGTGTTTACAATAGACCAAGAGCTGAATGGATTCAAATTAAATATATATTAGTATCAAGCTTTCACCTACTGATAAAAAAATAAAGGAGTCTAAGATTTCTTTTAAAAAAAAACAAAGCTTAGCTCATTAAATATTTCCAAGCATCAAAACCAGAGATAAGGTATTCATGTAGGAAAAGTATTAAATATAGTATCAAAAGTTCTGGTTTTTCTATTTTGGGAAAAGCCAGCTTAACATCTCTAAAATACCTAAAATGAGCTCCATACCTAAAAATGGAGATAATATACTCACCTCACAGTAGTATTTTAAGGATTAAATGAGAAATGCAGTCAATGATTATTATTAAACTATAAAGATCTTTATAAATGTATAATAATATCATACTTTAGTTACATTATATATCTTTCTTGTACATCTGTTATATAGCAATAATAGCTGAGAGCCTACAGATAATTTCATCTTAGTTGAAATTTTATTTAAAAATTTATAGTAAAAAATCTAAAATTAATAGTCTACTCAATTTAAAAGACCCAAATGTTTTGGAAGGCTCACATGAGTCTAATTTTGTATCTCAAGATTGACTTAATAGAGTAGATGCCACTAAGAACATAGATTTGTAAATAATTCATATTTCTGAGAGTAGTTGTTATATAATAAATACTTAATCATCTTACACATTTTTCCTTATTTTATTAGTTAGTTTTTATTTTATCTATGCATCATGTCACTATTATAAATAATACACTGAGCTAGATGCTCAGATGACAGGGAGAAAATGGAAAGTGGAAAAAAACATATCACAGTCACTGGCCTTCACAGATTTTTAATTTTCATGGAAAGATAGACATTCCAAATGAAACATATGACGTAAAAGGATTTTAAGGAAAATGCTGAGTACAATGTAGAATTAACCAATTCAAAATCTCAAATCAAAAAATGTTATCATGTGGCCTTATTTAAACTTGGGCCCCAGTAGCAAGATTTAGGACAGGACAGACCTTCTGAGGCCAGGGGTTTCAGCACAGGGTGAATAGAGGCTACCACGCCAGGACTTGGCCAGGACTAGGAAGAGGCAGAACAGAAAATGTTAGATACAGAAATCTGAATAGTTAGGAGAGGAGCTGCAGGTTACTAGGAGGGAGGGTAATGATAGAAGACACAATGTTCAAGTACAATACAGGCAGGTCTGGTGAGCAAGGGTTTCAGAAAAAGTATGAGGCTATGGAGCAAAGCTGCAAATATTCAACAGATGATCTGACTAAAAATTTTTAAAAAACAAACTTTATTGGGTGAAAAATAGAAAGTTTGAATACATTAATTAATTAGTTATCTATTCCACATTTGCCTCGTATACCTGAACTTGATAAAAAAGAATGAATATGAAACAGATCTTTCCATTGAATAATTTATTATATGAACGTGTATTGAAAAGCTCTAATTTAAACCAGGTATGTGGTGGGCACAGCTAGAATAAATGGTAGACGTGATATTCACTCTCACGGAGTTTACATCTAGATGACTGAACACAAATACTTGAATGGAAATAATTGTTAATGAAAACATGTGAACTGCCATAAAAAGGAGAATGAAGTATTGAGAAAAATCAAATGGAGAAGTATGTCAGGTATTTGGGAAACTACTGATGCATTTAGAACTGTGGTGGATATAAAAGTATAACATCAATTTATATTTATTGAATGGTTAAGTAAATTGATTGTGAATAAATGACTGACTGAAGCAATGTACAAGTAGGGTGAGGCTGGAAAGGACTGGAAGGGGAGGGGCTTATCTACAGATATTTGAGTAAAATAATCATAGATATAATAATCAAGAATCTAGGATTTTCTGAAGCAGCTTTGATTGTAAATAGCCTGACCTGTAGTCTCTCCACATATACTTCTGCTTGCCAGGCATGTACTGATATTTGCTTTTAAAATGTGATTATTTTAAGCATGTAAAAGAAATGAGGATTAGTGCCAAGGCAACTGGCTTCAGAGCCAGAACTCTGCTATTTCCTTCCAGCCCAAGACTCACTTGGTCTTAGAAAGGGGTGAGAGCCCTCCATTAGAGACAGGTGGAAACACCTGGGGTCCTGAGGGTCAGAGGCAGGGGGACATACGCAGTGAGGACACAGATCTCGATTCACTGCTAGTTTGCCAGCTACCTAAATCCTCCTGTTTTTCTTTTTTTTTCATATTATCATATGTTAAAAACTTTCTTATTTTAAATCACCAGTAGGATGTTTGGGAGTTTAAACATGGAACTACTGCAAAAATGATATTTCAAATCTCTCTTCACCATCCAATGCATAAAATAATGACTCAGAACAATGAACTTAGTACCATCAGTAATATCTATCAAGAAGGCCCCAAGGCTCTACCCAGAATTCTTCGCAATTTCTTCCACCATTTGTTCATAGCTTAATTAGATTAGCAAGAAAATTATTGTCAATTACACAGTTTCTGACAAAAGTAATCATAATCACATAAACAGACACTATCTGGAGATAAGCTCTTTTCTGCAATAAATGATTTTTATTCTTCTAAAACTCAGTCTTAAAATATTTTCAAAATTAAAAACCCTCACACTGAGGTGCATCACAGTGATGCATCAAATATCATTTGCTGTGTCTTCTCATATTCAATTTAATTTTAATGTGTCTACAATAGAAATTATTCTGTAACTCTGGAATCATACTACAGAAATTAATGCTTTTGCTCAAGCTCTGAAATACAGCAGAGGGGAGGAGAATCCCAAAAGAAAAAAATCTGATTAAGGCTGGGCATTGTGGCTTATGCCTATAATCTCAGCATTTTGAGAGGCTGAGGCAGGAGGATTGGTTCAGCTCAGGAGTTCAAGACCAGCCTGGGCAACATAGCGAGATGTCATTTCTACAGAAAAATAACACAATTGTCTGGGCATGGTGGTGTGTGCTTGTAGTCCTAACAACTCGGGAGGCTGAGCTTGGAGTTTTGGTTTAGCCAAGGAGGTCAAGGCTGCAGTGAGTTATGACTGTGCCACTGTACTCTAGCCTGGGCAACAGAGTTAAGACCTTGTCTTAAAAATTTATTTTTGATTAAAATATTGAAGGCTTTCATCTTCAGAGACTAAGGCTTAACAATTCCAGCATATTGTCACATGATTATGTAACATAAAAACCTGGTATTAAAATAGAAGTCCACTTTGGTTTATCTTAATGTCTCAAAATCTTTGAAATTTTCAGCAGTTAGAAATGTATTAGAAATACATCATGAAAACTAGCTATGCCAGGCTTGAAATAAAATAATTCTGTTTAACTGTTTCATGTGTTTATGGCTTTTAATTCATCTTAGACCTAGTCAGCAATTAGAATCATATACAGAATTACAAATTTTTATATAATTCCCATATTGTTCTATAGTTGTGATAATCAGTAAACTTTAGAACTGTTTGTAAATCTTCTTAATCAATCAGTGACTACTCATTTGGTAAACATGTCCCTGAAAGTCAACCATCAAGGATGCACACCTACAGCCACCTGATCTTTGACAAAGTCAACAAAAATAAGCAATGTGGTAAAAGCTCCCTATTCAGCAAATGGTGCTGGGATAGCTGGCTAGCCATATACAGAAGAATAAAACTGAAGCCTACCTTTAACCATATACCAAAATTAACTCAATATGGATTCAAGATTTAAATATAACACCTTAAACTATAAACATCCTAGAAGAAAACCTAGAAAACACCATTCTATACATGGGCCTTGGGAAAAAAGTTATGACTAAGTCCTTAAAACCAATTGCAACAACAAAAATTGACAAGTGGGATCTAATTAACCTAAAGAGCTTCTGCACAGCAAAATAAACTACCAAGAATAAACATACAACCTAGAGAATGGGAGAAAATATTCGCAAACTATGCATCTGACAAAGGTCTAATATCCAGAATCTATAAGGAACTTAAACAATTGAACAAGCAAAAAACAAATAACTCAATTAAAAAAAATGGTGAAAAGACATAGACACTTCTCAAAAGAAGATATACAAGCAACCAACAAATATGAAAAAATGCTCATCATCATTAATCATCAGAGAAATTAAAACCACAATGAGATACTATCTCACATCAGTTGGAATGACTATTATTAAAAAGTTAAAAAACAACAGACGTTGGTGAGGGTGTGGGAAAAGGGAATGTTTATACGCTGTTGGTGGGAATGTAAATGAGTTCAACCACTATGGAAAATAGTTTGGAGATTTCTCAAATAACTTAAAGTAGAACTACCATTCAACCCAGCAGCATTATACCAAAAAGACATATGCACTCATGTTCACCACAGTAGTATTCACAACAGCAAAGACATGGAATCAGCCTAGGTGTCCATCAACAGTGAATTGTCTAAAGAAAATGTGGTACATATACACCATGGAATGCTATGAAGCCATAAAAAAGAATGAAATCATGTCCTTTGCAGAAATATATGTGCAGCTGGAGGCCATTATCCTAAGTGAATAAACTTTCCTCTATTGATTATGGCATTATGGAAAGCTCCTTTTAAAATAAAATTATTTAGAAACTTCAGTCAATTCTGGAAGCACTATTCTCTCTCAAATTTTTCTAAAGTTTTAAAGGTAAAAATCTCCTTAGTTTTTGATGTCTGACTTGACTTAGGATTTAGGGGCTGACCTGAGCCAGATATTTAATTTTCATTTTCAAAATTAAAGTCAGCATCTTAAATCCCAGGAGAAGTCATGTGGTACAGATGAACACTCCCTTAGGTATATACCATGACCAAAATGAAATAAAGAAAATATGGTACATATACACCATGGAATACTACATAGCCATAAAAAAGAATGCAGTCATGCCCTTGCAGGAACATGAGTGTAGCTGGGGGCCTTATCCTATGTCAGAAAACAAAGGAACAAAAAGTCATATACATCATGTTCTCACTTATAAGTTGGAGCCAAAATGTTGAGTACACATGGACATGAAGATGGAAGCAACAGACACTGGGGACTACCAGAGTAAGGAGGAAAGGATGGGAACAAGTAACCATTGAATACTATGCTCACTACCTGGGTGATGGGATTATTTGTACCCCAAACCTCAGTGTCATGCAATATACCCATGTAACAAGCTGTGCATGTACCCCGGAACCTAAAATAAATGTTGAAATTTCACAGAAAAATAAGAAAAAAGAAAAGAAGCCAATTGCTATATTGATGTTTGCAAACTGGTGATTTTGCTAATTCTATTATTCTCAACATTTATTATTTGTTAACATTATTGCCTTTACAAGGTGTTTCAGGTTCACATATTATCTCCCTGCCCCAGACAGAAAAAGGAAATATACTTGGTCTTGGCTATTCATAAATTTTTAAAGAATAAACCATATTTTTCAGTACACATAATTTTCCTAGTAAATATATACAAATAGAAGGTCACTTTGTTAATAGAAATATACTAGTAGATGGTATTTTAAAAAAGCAATGAAGCTCTTTCTCTTCCCTGTTCCTTTCTGAACATTTCAGTCAGCCATAGACTGAATATTAATGTGCCTCAAAATTCATATGCCTGTTGAAAGCTAATCCTTAAGGTGATGATATTTGGATGTGGGTCCTCTGGGAGATGATTAGGTAATGAAGAGTCCACTAATGAAATTAGTTCTTTATAAAGGTGATCCCAGAGAACTCTCTTGTTCCTTCTACCATGTGAGGACATAATTAGGAGATAGCAGTCTATGTACCAGGAAGAAGGCTGTTACCAGACACTGAATCTGCCTGCACCTCGATCTCAGACTTCCACCTTCCAGAACTGTGGGGGAAAAAACTTTCTGTAGTTTCTAGGCCACCCAGTTTATGTTATCCTATTATAGCAGCCCATAAGGACTAAGACACAGTCCAAAGACTATTAGGAGGTGCCAAGCCAAATAAGGAGTCCATGCTGAGAAGAGTGAGGGAGGCTGACTGGGGAGAGGAGCTATTTCTGAGAAGTGATGGTATCTCCACGTTGGCATCCCATGGAAAGGTAGCTGTGTGGGGTTGGGGGAGTACCCTCAAGGGAGTGCAGCCTGCTGCATCATTTTGGAGCCCAACCAGGGTGTGAGGGGGCCTCACAGAGGAATGGTCTATTCCAGAGAGTCTGAGCTCAAACAGAGTGGTGGAAACACCCAGCAGAAAGCAGTCCAGGGAAAGATCTGGGTGCTCAAGTGGGATGACCAGGGTGTCTTCAAGTGTGGGACAAGGTAACAGGTGCAGAGACTTGAGCAGCTGCCTGAGAGTGTACCAGCTCATGGTGTCAGACCTAAGCAGAGTAAGGAGCACATTTCTTGCAGGTGAGTTGCCTGGAGGGAAGCGTTGTTGCCTGGGAAGAAAGAAGAAGGCATCTACTCAGTGGGGCAGTGGAACTGACCAGCATGTTGGTCAGTGGGGCGGTGGAACTGACATGCACAGAAGAAGCTATTCCAGTTTAGTGTCCTAAACTGTAGAAATAAAAGAAGTTATTTTATTGTTTATGATAAGCATACATTATTTCTGGAGCAAGTAATATGCTTATTTACATCTAGAATAAATACTTATTTTCTACTACTTAATGTGCTCCTTAAACACATATTTATTGATCATTCATTATGTTTTTGACACTTCATATGCATGGTTTCCTTTAATGAACACAATGAGCCTTTTTGCAATTCTCATTTTATAAATGACAAAGGTAAGGACTAGAGAGATTAAGTCATAAACTCTGATCTCCAAGAGGTCAGTAAGGAAAAGAAATAGGTAGCATTAAGTACCATACTTCTCAAAGAGTGTTAGTACTATAGATTAATGTCCATGGTGTCATATGAAAGGCACAACAACTCTGCAATAGATTTTAAACATGTTTCTGAAAGAAGCAGAAGTTTGCATTTGAAAGAAGTGTTTGGGTAAACACTACAAGTAAATCAAATAAAATACCTGCTCTGATTGAAGTCCAGAGGTTCTCAATCCTGGTCACATATCACATGTATCTGAGAAGTTGTTAAAATGCCTAAGTCCACCAACAGGGCAGAGTCTCTAGGAGCAAAGCCCAGGCATCAGTACATTTTAAAGTTCTCCAGATAAGTCCACTGTGCAGCTAGGGATAAGTTTTCCCAGCTGTGGTAGTTGATGAGGAAGCACCATGGGAGATGGGCATGGTAGGAGTATTAAAGATGGCTAAGGGATTGATCCTATAGGGTGGGCAAGCAGATGAGACTAGTGAAACAGTCCTAGACATAAAGGTCAGTGTTAATAAAGTTCTCAAACAAATATTTAATTTATGATACCTATATATTTCCTATGTAACGTATAAACATGTTCGGTATAATACAACTTGCTGGCATCCCCAAGTCACGGACAGAATGTATGTGTGTTTGAGAAGTAACAGACATCTTTAAATGTGTAGCAATGCAGACAAAAGCAAAATTAACAAATTAATGAAGCTGCTCTTCTGATATTTAATGAATTCTAAGAAAAGTATAGGTAAATTGCTGTTCAGAATTCTTTACCTGTATTTGAAAGCTCTGAATACTTAATAGAATTAATTCTCAGCTATGTCAAAGAATTTAAATGCAGTTGCTTGTTAAATATTTTCTAAACAGCAGTTGGATATAAAAGGATAAGTATATGAGTGGCTTTTATGGTAAGTAATCATAGAGTTGCATGAGATGTGAATACTTCACAGCAAGAGCTACATTATTGAAATTTTTGAGGATCATCTTGAGGAAATAATATTTTTAAATATCTAGGAAAAACGACATTTAGAGGAATGAAGAATACACATTGCTATAACTGTTTTATACTCAATAAATCTATATTTTATCAAAATTTGAGTTTGACTGTGGTTACATATATCAATTAAGCATTTTTCCACAAGATAATGAAAAATTATATAATAAGTCACAATATGGTAAAGGATTAAAATAACCAATTTTAGAATCAAATAAGCTTGGGCATGAATTTTGAATTATGTTTCTGTAATTTGGAAGTTGCATAGCTTTGAAAAGGTATGTGATATTTTTGAAGCCAGTGTTCTCATGTGTAAAATGTTAAACATAGTACTTACCTCATGGGATTGTTGCAGAGATTGAATAAGTTGATGTATGTGAAATGCCTAAAATAGTGCCTAAAACATAGTCACCTTCAATAAATGTCATTTTATTGTTACACTAACTTAACATGCTCATAAGGGAATTTGAGAGAGAACACTCTATGAGACAGAAAATTCTGTAAGACAGCTAGAAAGTCCTAACTGATAGATTCAACAAAGTAAAACAAATTGACAGAAACCATATAAGTTCTGGAGGCAGAACTTAGTCTACAGGTGTTTTATTTTATTTAAATTTCTAGAAAATTATATAAATGAGTGAGCATTACTGGAACAGGGTTAAAAAGCAGCATAGAACATACAAGATTTGAGGAAGTTGGTTTCTAGTACATAAAACAGGGAACCTTCCAGCTATATCTGGAGAACTGATCTTCCATGAGTCTCTCTTACAAAATTTATGGTATTCCCATTGTTGGATCTATTTGAGACACTAAAAAATTTGCACTGATATTTACATTTGATTTTTTAAAAATCTTATCTGACTACTTTTAACTTTGATTTTGCATCTTGCCACTATAACTTCTTTTTTGTGTGTGTACATTTAACATTGTACTAGGCATTGTTTATAAAATGGCGAACAAAACCTGGTCTTTTTCCTAAAGGGCTTTTTGTCTAATAGACAGAAGCAGCATAGAATTTTAAAAAGCATAGGCTAAGAAAAATAAGTGTGGTTAGTCTATTACTGCCAGCCAATTATTGTTTGTCTTTCTCTCCTTGTCCATGGAGAGATAAATGTCCAATTGAGGACCTTTATGAATATAATATATTCGAAACTATCTGAAAATCTCACACAAATTATTCTGATCAACCACATTTCAGAAGTAAACTCATGCTTGAAAAGCTTACTTCAAGGTCTGACAATATAACCACTGCCCTGCCTAAACCCAGCGCCCCTTTAAATAAGTGCTATGTTGTAGATTCACTCAGCTAAGGAAGTGTATGTTCAATCAGTTTTGAAACATATGTACTTGAACCCACATTTTGGTGAAAGCTACTAATGGTTCAATTAAATAAGAAAAATCTTAATGGGCTGGTATTAGAGAGTGGTGGGAAAGAGATGAGAGACTCTGTTACGAAAGTTTAAGAAACAGATTATTTCCTAAATTCACTGTAAAAGTTTAATATTAAGATGATGTCAAAGCAAAAATTAAACTGGTTAAAGTTAAACACTCAAGGAAGGCTTTATTCAAGACTATAGTAGTTCCTCCTTATTTGCAGTTTTGAGTTTTGTGGTTTCAGTTGCCTGGAGTCAACTGCAGCCTGAAAATATGAAATAAAAATTTTGTAAATTTTTAACTGTGGACCATTCTGAGTAGTGTGATGCAATCTGATGCTATCCAACTTTGCTCCGCCTGAGATGTGAATCCTCCCTTTGTCCAGTGTATCCACACCTGTTAGTCACTTTGTAGCCATCTTGGTTATCATATTCACTGTTGTGGTATCACAATGCTGTGTTCAGGTAACACTTATTTTACTCAATAATGGCCCCAAGGCATAAAAGTAGTGATGCTGACAATTTGGATATGCCAAAGAGAAGCTGTAACATTCTTCCTTTATGGAAAAAGGTGAAAGTTGTCAACTTAATAAAGGAAAAAAATGTATGCTAAGGTTCTAAAAATCTATGGTAAGAATGAGTCTTCTATTTGTGAAACAGTGAAGAAGAAAAAAGAAGAAACTTAGGCTAGCTTTGCTGTCACACCTCACACTGCAAAAGTTATGGTCACAGTGCATGTCAAGTGCTTAGTTAAGATGAAAAAGGCATTAAATTTGTGGGTACAGGACATGAACAGAAGTGTGTTTGGATTGATGGAAATTGGGTTTGGTACTCTCTGTGATTTCAAGCTTTCTTTGGGGGTCTTGGAACGTATCCCCTGTGGATAAGTGAGGACTTCCATATTGCAACAGGGGAGAGAGGTCAAAGCTCAACTTAATTCTACTGAAACAAAGGCCCTCTTTATTTACTCATTGGCCTCACCCAAAGGGAAAGTAAACTTTCTAGTATTTTTGTAACAGGAGATAGGCTCCTCCCCTCTCAGATACTGGGAGATAGAGGTACCGTCTTTCTAAATTAGGGCGTTTCAGAGTTTTGGCTCCCAGGTTCTTGAGAGACAGTCTTGGTTGTAAAAACTGGAAAAGGCTTTCAAGAAATTTGTATCTCAAAAAGGCGAGGAAGAATTTACAATTACAAGTTTTCAAAAGTAAATACTCTAACAAAAGGGAAGCCAGGGGCTGAGATGCAGAAGGAAGCCTGTCTAAAATTTGGTTAAGCTGAGAAAAACATTAAGACCCTCTGGTTCAGTGGGTAAAGATAGAGCAAAACTCTTAATAGTGAAAGAATCTTTCTTTGATGGGATCCTATAATAAGATAGCCTCAAATCCTGTTATCAGAAATTTTGTGAAGTCAGAGATTTTGTAATTATGGTTTAGAATTTAATTCAGTCATCCTTAAAGAAATTTAAACTGCTAGAATCACACTATCTTGCCTCAGAATAACTTTTTCTCCTTACAACGATTTAATCTTTGAAAATATGAGTTATGCAAAGGAGAACATTCAAAATAATTTTCATCTCAGTAAAAGAAATTCTAAAAAAGTATGCCCTGCTTAAAAAGCCTATGTGAAAATTGAATTTAAAATAATACATTACTTTGTCATATTCCATAAAATTTCAAAAAGGATCTTTTGTATTATCCAATACTTTAACATGAAATTTAGTAAATAAAATACTGTATATATTATGCAAATTAGATATCAAAATTGAGCTGTACAAGACCCTTTGCAAACATTTTCACAAAGGTGAGATACACCCACAGAAGTGATCCTTTTCCCTAGCTGGGCAATAAAATCAACATTTGCAACTCCTAAAAAATACAATTATAAGGCTGCCCTCAGAGATCTTCAGCATGAGAATCTCTAAAAGTGAGGTTTATTGTTTTTAAAAATGCTCTCAAAATATTGTCTGGTGACCAGCATCTCCTGGGAGCTTTTTAGATATGCAGAATCTTGGCTTTCCCATACCTACTGAATCGTAATTAGCACTTTCACAAGAACTCAGGAGTTGATGTGCACAGGAAAGTCTGAGAAGTACTGCTCTATAGGAAGCTTGCTGCACAACCAAGGTGAGATCTACTCACCAGTGAGGATAAACAAGCTTCCAGCGCTGTCAATGCAGCATCTCCACAGATGAGGTTCGTAAGTGTTGCTTTATTTTCTATTATAATTACCATAAAAGTTCTCGAGGCAGAATTTAGTCTGTAGGTCTTTTATTTTATTTAAATTTCTAGAAAATTATAGAAATCAGTGAGCATTACTGGCACGGGGTTAGAAAGCAGCACAGAACCTACAAGATTTGAGGAAGCTGGTTTCTAGTGCATATGTCTAGTTCATATATAAGACACATCTTCTGTGAAAAATTTTAGCACAAGATTTTAGATGTAGACTAAAACAAAAAGAAAATATTAAAAAGTGGAACATTCATATTAATATCTGATGCTTAATTAAAGCATTCAGGAAACTTAAATAGGTTTTATTTGGAGAGAGGGAGCTGAAGGGAGTGATTCACTGGATTGGGAGTTAGAGTTTCCAGTGATTCACGGACCAATTAACTTTGGCTTGGGGCAAGGTACCTTTTTTAATTTCTCCAGAAGCATGTGTGATAAGGACTATTATTGCTTCTCTTAACAGCAATATAAAAACAAATTAGGAAACCTTAAAGTGACTTCTGCTTCTCTGGGGAGAAAATCTTTATTAAATTAGTAGTAGGTTGAGATAATATTTATTCCACATTTTCCTTGGGCAAATGACAACACTGTTGTCATTAGTCTTTCTTACTGTTTCTGTGCATGTATTTGGCTGTGATGTGTGTGAATATCTCTGAAACAGTAATTTTAGAATGTAAAGTAAAAGAAAAGATAATATTTTACTCAGTAAAGATTGGTTATTTCAAAATTATCTTTATATGTATCTTTCCATGCATCCCAATTGAAATTGTTATGTCATTGGTCTGATTACATATTTACAACAAGTCAAAAGAAGCAGTTTTCAAAGAGAGTAACCAAAAAAATTAAAAAAATTCAAAGGACTAAGACTTCCTTCTGGTTTCCATTCAGAGATGTAGGGAGCTGCAAAAAGTGAGGTCTCCAATCTTACAGTAAAAATAAGCAAAACACGCATCAGATTTATAATCTTTTTTTTGATCCACTTGAGGGCTGAGGTTGCATAGCAACCAGCTGGCCCCAAATCTAAGGAGAGACAGGCAGGGAGAGAAAAGACTGGAGCCCTGGATTTCTTGTGCAAGAAATAGTCAGACACCCACTGGCAGGAGTGGTTTAGCTTGAGTGATTGGTATATTGGTGTATGTGCTAGTGACAGGGGTGAAGCTTCTGAGAGTGGCATATTCTCTTCAAAGCATTTTGTCCACAAACTACCTGGTGGTCACAGAAAGACTGAGAAAATTCTGAGAATGTCTGTCTCATAGTGCAGAACAGAGGGAGGGCACCAGGAGCTCCCAGTAGGGACAGGAGTGGAGAACACTGCTGAGATACTCATCCCCATCTCTCCTACCAAACAAAAGCCTTCATCTGTAGGGAAAAAGACAGCAAACACTGTTGTCATTAGGGCACTGATGAAAATCCATCGCAAGAGAGGTAAAAGAAGAGGAGAATAACTCTATCCCTGGGGAAAGGTCAGCAGAGATATGGTGTCTTCCTAAGACTGAGCCCTTATTTGAACAATGTAAAACACCTACCACCCCCACCATTACCACTAGGCTAACAGGCTTAGAATAGAAAGGACCTTGCTAAAGAGAGAATATCTCTGAGATGCAATGCAAAGCTCTCAGCAGAATAAATACTGAGGAAAACCGAACAAACAAAAATATCTGGAAAACTAACCCCTTCTCTAAACAGATACTATTTATTTAGAGGAATTTGAAGGCTATAATACATTAAGGGTAACATATAACAAAAAATCTCAAACCCAGGCCAACTCTTACTTAGAGTAATTCCCTCACTCAAGGCCCCACTAAAAGGAAGGAATGTCCATTTCCAGGTGTATAATGCTACTTGCCTCAGTCTTTACTATACTATATAAGAAGTCTAGCTTTCAAAAACAACTAAAAATTATGAAGCACATAAGACAGGATAAAGCAACATACTCCAAGAGACAAGGTTACCATGACACAGATGTTGGGACTATATTCCAGGGAAGTTAAAATAACTATATTGAGTAGGTTAAAAGTTTAATAGAAAAGGTTGACAACATTCAAGATTAAATGTGTAATCTCAGCAGAGAAAGGGAAACCGTAAGGAAGAATTAAGTGGAAGTTCTAGAAATGAATAACATTGTAATAGAAATGAAGAATGCCTTTGAAGACTCATCTATAGACTCAATTCAGCGAAAGAAAGAATTGCTGAGCATCAAGATAGGTTAAAAGAAATTACCAAAACTGAAAAAAATAAGAATTCTGGTTTTGTACTTGTAACAATTTTTTTTATCTTTGTTACAAAGGTGGAAGTGAGTTGACATCAGCATTAGAAGCTAGTCCTTTGGAGAGAATCCATGACTGATGTTTGACCTTTTTAAAAATATTTTCAACTTTTATTTTAGATTCAAGGCATACAAGTTCAGGTTTGTTACTGGGTGTATTGTGTGATGCTGAGGTTTGGGGTATGATTGATCCTATCACCCAGGTACTGATCACAGCACCCAATAGTTAGTTTTCAACACTTGTCTCCTCCCTCCTCCCTCTGAGTAGTCCCCAGTGTCCATTGTTCCCATCTATATGTCCAAAAGTACCCAGCGTTTACCTCCCACTTGTAAGTGAGAATATGTAGTATTTTGTTTTCTGTTTCTGCATTCATTTGCTTAGCATAATGGCTTCCAGCTATACCCATGTTCCTGCAAAGACATTCTTGCATTCTTTTTTATGGCTGTGTAGTAATCCATGGTGTATTTTGTTTTATTTGATTTTGATCATGTTATATACCTAAGGGAGTGTTCATTTGTACTATATGACTTCTGGGATTTAAGATGCTGATTTTAGTTTTGAAATTTTAAATATTTTGGCTTAGGATTTGAGGTCAGCACTCAAATCCTAAGTCAAGTCAGACTCCAAGAACTAAGGAGATTTTTACTTTTAAAGTTTCAACGTTTAGAAAAAGAGAGAATAGTGCTTCCAGAATTGACTAAAAACTCTAAATAATTTTAATTTAAAAGGAATTTCCAAGATGTCATAACCAATAGAGAAAGGCACAAGCTAGACACTCACTGATGAGAACATAGAATGGCAACAAGATAACAATTCAATATTAATGTTCTAAACCTGTGACTTGACCAGATACTCATGTGTCATGTTTCTTGGCATTAGTTACCCTTGTTTGCCCTCAGCACACACCAAAGCACACAAATTTAAAACATAAAGCAGACACCTATGCTCTCTTAACTTCCCTTTCTTTCACACTTTCATCACTAATGGGCATTGCTCTTTTCTGCTCTCTGTCCACAGGGGTTAGGTTAGCCTCATGGCTTTCTATTTCCTTGTCTCTGAATCTTCCTCACCCCAATTGCTATGCTAAGTAATTCAGTTTTTCCCAGCTTCCACCTCCAAACTTACTTACCAAAGCTCGAGATAGTGCTCAGTAAACACGGGTCTGATGCTATCCGGAATTCTCTCATAGAATTCCGTGGAGATTGTAAATGAAATTTCCCCCCTGTTACACATGTAACATGAATGCCTGGCTATGATGGTGCATGCCTATGTGATGAGCTCCTTAAGAGGCAGAAATGTAAGAGTGCTGAGCTCAAGGGTTTTGGCCTGCAGTGTACTCAAACTAAATTTAGCAACATTATGCTATGGAGCCATAAAGAGAAGATTTCTATTTCTCATCAGCTGAGGAAAAAATGCTCAAAAAGATGCTTCAACTCAACCAGGGAAACCTTGATGCACTGTTTTTTAAAATCCACTTGATTAAAAATAATATTTTACTTTCAATTTTATATTTAAATTACTTTCACACGTTATACTGCTTATTTTAGGTATGTATCTGCTACTAATTTATAATAGAATGGCAATATATTTGAATTATATATATTTGCTAATGTGTATTATAATTAATACTTTATAATATATTTATACTTTTCTGTATTTGATTTATATTATGTTTATATTATACATATAGATAATTGTATTTACTTATATATTTTTTGATTTATAACACATTTGTCTTAAGATCACATATTTAGTTTTAGCTTTTTTGTGCGTGTATTGTGGGTACTTTTAAATCAAATACTGTTATTAATGCTGGCATTTTGATATGGAAATACACACACACACACACACACACACACACACACACGTGCACACAAATACCCTTGTCATTCTGTGCCAGTATCGCAATGCGATTCACCAGAGGGATGAACCTTCCAGGATGTAAACAGAGCAGAACAAAATTCATATCCTGGTTAAAACAAAGATGTTTAGCAATGGCCAATGGGTAAAATAAAAAGAAATATTCCAGTCTTTTTTTATGCCTTCAGATGACTCTTTATGTTCATATAATGACAAGTTTAAAATTTCTTCAAATATTAAATAATTCCTACAAACTTAAAATATTATGCACTGCTATGTTTTATTCACCTTTTTGTAACTAAGGTACTATTCATTTACTAAGAGAACTTTGAAAAGATTGCAGTACAAATTGCACTTGTATATGTTGTCAGCAGGGATTATTGGGAGATATCTTTAAAGAAAACAGCTGTGTTTAGATAATAGCAGAAATATGAAGTGGTAACATTTAAGTCTGTCAGAATAATCTATTTAATTTGTCAGAAACAATAAAACATAAAGGTTTATAATAAACAAAGGTTTGACTTTGATATGAGAAAGATAATACAATAAAACAAGGAAGTCCATAAATTGATTGAACTTAAGTTTGCTGACATTTTTATTTTATGTAAGCTAACAATGAACTCTAATACCCTAGAGTAGATTTATTTCACAACAGCATTATTGACTTCTATTCTATTCTTAATATTAGTAAGGAACACCCTCATTTTACAAGGTACATTTCAAAGCAAAAAAACTAACATGTTATTCCTCAAAAATAAACATTTTTAAAGATGAAAAATTGAGAGTAGTCTTTGTAATTTGTCACTTTATGTTATAGTGTGTATTTCCAAAATTTAAGTTGACAAACATAATACAGACATAATGTAACCATGTTTACCCTTAAACAACATAAGTTTGAACTGCATGGATCCACTTATATGTGGACTTTTTTGCCACTGTCACCCTAAGAGAACAAGACCAACTTCTCCTCCTCCGCCTCCTTCTCCCTCAGCCTACTTAGAAGGAAGATTATAAAGATGAAGACCTTCATGATTCCCTTCTACACTTCCACTTAATGAATAGTAAATATATTTTCTCTTCCTTATGATTTTCTTAACAATATTTTTTCTCTAGCTTGCTTTATTATAAGACTACATATATAATACATTTATAAAATTTGCGCTAATCGGTTATTTACATTATCAGTATGGCTTTCAGTTGACAGTAGCTATTAGTAATTAAGTTCTTGAGGAGTCAAATGTTATATGCAGATTTCCAACTGCTCAGAGATTGGTACCCCTTACTGTGTGTTGTCAACATTAGTTTAGGAAATAATTACATGATTGATTGAATAATTAAAAAATAAAGGAAATAGTAATAACAAACAATAACAGTAATGCCTGACCTTCATTGAATGCTTATTTGTTGGTGCAATGCTATGCATTTGCCATGGATCATGTCAATTAATTGCCACAGCCCTACAAGACTATTATTATCACCATATTATAGATTAAGAAAATGAGACAGAGAGACACAGAAACATTTAAAAGATTTAAAAATCCTTAATGGTTTTAACAGCTTACCATAACTGCGAATAACTGAGTCAAAATGAATATGACATTTTTCAATCATACTTAATAAAAAATAGCCCAGAACTCGAATCAATTTATGAAGTTTTGAATATAAACCATGATATGAGTATAACAAAAAAACAAAGGCAAGGAAAAAAGGAATAAAACATTCATTTTGGTAAGATGTGTTGCCTCAACTGATCAAAGAGTCTAAGCCACCCTGTCTACTTTATATTGCTCTTCTCAGTATCATTCTTTTGATATAGTTTTGCACACAGGTTGAGAGCCAAGGACCTGAAGATTATTGCTCAAATCCTTACAACTCCATGACCAGAGCAGGGATCATCATCCATGTAACGTCATTTGGAATGTGGGTGGAGGAGTTGGGAGGAGTGCTCTTTACATTGAGAATTTTTTTTCGGGGGAATTTTTATTTCTTCAGAGAGTTTACTTCCATTTCTTACCTAGATAGCAGCCACACTGATAGCGTTCTGATTTCTGGGCAGAGAAGAAAGTGAGGATCTATTTTTTCTCTATGAAGTCTTGTAATTAATCTCCTGGTTTTCAGTCCCTTGCCTCATTATCTGGAGTGGGAGCATCAGGGAGAGATTCACGGAAGGGAATAATTGTTCCACATATAAACAGTATCTGATAAAGTATTAAAAATACACTCTAAACAGTACAAAAAGTCACTAAAATAGTACCCAGGCCTAAACGTTAGGGTTTGGTAATAATTGATACAATACACTGATATCATACTTTTAATAACTATTGGTATTGGTCTGCTCAAACTGCTATCACAAAATACTGCAGGCTGGGTGACTTACACTGCAGGCATTTATTTTATCCAGTCTGGAAGCCTAGGAAGCTCAGGATCAAGGTGCCAGCACAGTGTCTGATGAGGGTTCCCATTGGGCTTTAGATGGCCACCTTCTTTCTGTGTGCTCATGTGGCCTCGCTGCAGTACCTGTGCATACAGAACAAGCTCTCTGGCATCTCCTCTATTAAGGACACCAATCCTATTGACCAGGGCCTAACTCTTATGACCTCATTTAACCTTAATGACTTCCTTACTCCAAATACAGCCACATTGGGGGTCAGAGCTTTAATATATGAATTTTGGGGGACATATATGTTCAGTCTGTAATACTGTTAATCTATACAATTTATTCACATTTAACCTAATGACAAATCCAGGATAGTAAATTGCATGTAGTTGTCATGTCTCTTTAGTCTCCTCCAATCTGGAAAAATTCCTTGGTGATATGGTTAAGCTTTGTGTCCCCATCCAAATCTCATCTTAAATTGTAATCCCCATAATCCCGACGTGTCAAGGGAGAGACCATGTGGAGGTAATTGAATCATGGGGGCGGCCTCCTGCATGCTGTTCTCACAATAGTGAGTGAATTCTCAGGAGATCTGTTGGTTTTATAAGGGGCTCTTTTCCCTTTGCTCAGCAGTTCTCCTTTCTGCCACCTTGTGAAGAAGGTGCCTTGCTTCCTCTTCACCTTCTGCCATGATTGTAAGTTTTCTGAGGCCTCCCCAGGCATGCTGAACTGAGACAATTAAACTGCTCCCTTTATAAATTACTCAGTCTCACCAGTCTCAGGCAATTCTTTTTTTTTTTAATTTTGATTTAATTTTATTTCAAGTTCCAGGATACATGTGCAGAACATGCAGGTTTGTTATATAGGCAAACACGTGCCATGGTGGTTTGCTGCACCTATCAACCCATCACCTAGGTATTAAGCCCCACACGCATTAGCTATTTATCCTGATGCTCTCCCTCCCCCAGCACCCCTGACAACCCAGTGTGTGTTGTTCCCTTCCCTGTGCCCATGTGTTCTCATTGTTCAGCTCCCACTTATAAGTGAGAACACGTGGTATTTGGTTTTCTGTTCCTATTAGTTTGCTGAGGATAATGGCCTCCAGCTTCATCCATGTCCCTGCAAAGGACATGATCTCATCCCATTTTATGGCCATATAGTATATTCTGTGGTATATATGTACCATATTTTCTTTATCCAGTCTGTCACTTACATTTTTGGCAATTATTTATAGCAATATGAAAATAGACTAATACACTTGGTCACACTTTGCCTTTCATAACCTTTTATGAAACTTGTGAAGAGTATTGAAAAGTTATCTTTTAGAATGTCCATGTCCCAAATGTCTGATATTTTGCCATATTTACATTACAGTTATTAATTATCGGCATAAATACCACAAACTTATTATTGTTCCCTTCTCAGAGCAACAAACCAGGGAGCTGATGATAACAGTACATCTCAGTACTGGTGAGGTCAACTTTGATCATTTGATTAAGGTGCTGTGTACCAGGTTTCTATACTATTATATTGTGGGGAGATAAACTGAGACTATGCAGAATGCCCTGTTTCTCCTTATGCTCTCATCCACTAGTCTCAGCATCTGTAAACTATTCTTGCCTATAACAATTATTTCTATGTTGATTGCTCAATGGTGATTTTCTATCACTCCTTCTAAGTACAAATTTTACTGTGAGGAAGAACTGTCCCTTCTTGATGTGTTTATTTATTCAACTGTTATTTATATCAGTCTGTAATCATGGGTAGTCATTCTATTTTATGGATCATAATGAATTACTCTCATTATTGCCATTCAAATTATCCCAAATTTTGGTAACCAGGAGTCCCTTCAAGCTGATTCCGGTGCTCATCCAATTAATCCCCACAATTTTTAAAAGTAGACCTGATTTTTTAAAACAGTCACATTTACAGAAAAAAATTAAGCTAGCTACTCAGGAGGCTGAGTGGGGAGAATGACTTAAGTCTGAGAGGTTGAGGCTATGATGAGCTGTGATAGCACTGCTATACTTTAGCCTGGGTGACAGAGTGAAACACTGTCTCAAAAATAACCCCCCCAAAATTAAGAAAACAGTACAGACAGTTCCCACATACCCAACACTCAGTTTGCCTCATTATTAATGTATTAGTCCATTTTCATGGTGCTGATAAAGACATACCTGAGACTGGGGAGAAAAAGAGGTTTAATGGACTTACAGTTCCACATGGCTGAGGAGGCCTCACAGTAATGCCAGAAAGCAAGCAGGAGAAAGTCACATCTTACGTGGATGGTGGCAGGCAAAAAGAGAGAGCTTGTTCAGGGAAACTCCTGCTTTTAAAACCATCAGATTTTTGGAAGCTCATTCACTATCATGAGAACAGTGCAGGAAAGACCTGCCCCCATAATTCAATCACTTCCCACCAGGTTCTTCCCATGACACATGGGAATTATGGGGGTTAAAATTCAAGATGAGATTTGGGTGAGGACACAGCCAAAGCATATCATTCTGCCCCTGGCCCCTCCCAAATCTCATGTCCTCACATTTCAAAACCAATCATGCCTTCCTAACAGTCTCCCAAAGTCTTAAGTCATTTCAGCATTAACTGAGAAGCCCACAGTTCAACCTCTCATCTGAGACAAGGCAAGTCCCTTCCACCTGTGAGTCTGTAAAATCAAAAGCAAGTTAGTTACTTCCTAGAAAGCATGGGGGTACAGGCATTGGGTAAATACAGCCATTCCAAATGGGAGAAATTGGCCAAAACAAAGGGGCTACAGACAGGCCCCACGCAAGTCCAAAACCCATTAAGGCAGTCAAATCTTAAAGCTCCAAAATGATCTCCTTTGACTCCATGTCTCACATCCATGTCACACTGATGCAAGAGGGGGGTTCCCATGATCTTGGGCAGCTCTGCCCCTGTGGCTTTACAGGGTACAACCTCCCTCCTGGCTGCTTTCATGGGTTGCTGTTGAGTGTCTGTGGCTTTTCCAGGCATACGATACAAGCTGTTGGTGGATCTACCATTCTGGGGTCTGGTTGATGGTGGCCCTCTTCTCACAGATCCACTAGGTGGTGCCCCAGTAGGGACTCCATGTGGGGCTCCAATCCCACATTTCCTTTCCATACTGCCCTAGCAGAGGTTCTCCATGAGAGCCCCGCCCCTGCAGCAGACTTCTGCCTGGACATTCAGGCATTTCCATACATCCTCTGAAATCTAGGTGGAGTTTCCCAAACCTCAATTCTTGACTTCTGTGCACTGGCAGGCTCAACACCATGTGGAAGCTGCCAAGGCTTGGGGCTTGCTCCCTCTGAAGCTATGGCCCAAGCTGTACCTTGGCCCCTTTTAGTAACAGCTGGACTGGCTGGGACAAAGGGCGCCAAGTTCCTAGACTGCACAAAGCACAGGAACCTTGAGCTCTGCCCACAAAACCATTTTTTTCCTACTAGACCTCCAGGACTGTGATGGGAGTGGTGCCATAAAAATCTCTGACATGCGCTAGAGACATTTTCCCCATTGTCTTGGTGATTAACATTTGGCTTCTGGTTACTTACCAAATTTCTGCAGCCAGCTTGAATTTCTCCTCAGAAAATGGGTTTTTCTTTTCTAGCCCATTATCAGGCTGCAAATTTTCTGAACTTTTATGCTCCGTTTCCCTTTTTAAACTGAATGCTTTTAACAGCACTTAAGTCACCAAGTTTCAAACTTTCCCACATTTTCCCGTCTTTTTCTTAGCCCTCCAGACTGTTCCATTCTTTGCCTGTTACCAGTTCCAAAGTTGCTTCCACATATTCAGGTATCTTTTCAGCAACTCCCCACTCTACTGGTACCAATTTACTGTATTAGTCCATTTTCAAGATGCTAATAAGACATACCTGAGACTGGGAAGAAAAAGAGGTTTAATGGACTTATAGTTCTACATGGGTGGGGAGGCCTCATAATCATAGCAGAAGGCAGGGAGAAGTGAATCACTTCTTGCATGGATGGCAGCAGGCAAAAAGAGAGAGAGCTCATGCGGGGAAACTTCCATTTTTAAAACCATCAGATCTTGTGAGACTTATTCACTATCATGAGAACAGGAAAGACCTGCCCCCATAATTCAATCACCTCCCACCGTGTTCCTTCCATGACATGTGGAAATTGTGGGAGTTACAATTCAAGGTGGGATTTGGATGGGGACACAGCCAAACCATATCAATTAATATCTTAAATTAGTATATTTAATTTGTTAGCATTAAGAAAACAATACTAACACATTATTACCAAGTCCATAGTTTATTCAATTTTATTGAGTTTTTACCTCATGTCCTTTTTTAAAACCCACGATTCCCACCAAGAATTGCCACAATACATTTAATTATCAAGTCTTCTTAGGTCCTTTTGGCTGAAAGAGCAGGAAAATTTAAAAGTGTGAATATTGCCCAGTATAAAAACATATATGTAACCATCTGTATCTATATTAAGCTTAACATGAGTTTATATTGATCTCTCTGACACTAATCTATTACTACATGAATTTTTCTAGCCTCCTCTCATTCCTTATATGTAATGTCCTACTCCAGCAGTGAGAAAATTTGTTCTCATTATGCGTCATTCTTAATTGTTCAATTCCAGTATACCAGTAAAGTGATATTAGGATCGTTAACATATACTGCTATGTGAAACAACTTTATCAAGAGTAGAGTGTATCCAGGTGCAGCGGCTAACGTCTGTAATCCCAACACTTTGGGAGGATAGCTTGAGTCCAGGAGTTCTAGACCAGCCTGGAAAACAGAGCGAGACCTTGTCTTACAAAAAGAAAATTTAAAAATTACCTCTGTGAGGTAATGTGTGCCTATAGTCTCAGTTACTTGGGAGGCTGAGGTGAGAGGACCCCTTGAGCCCTGGTGGTTGAGGCTGCAGTGAGCTGTGATCACACCACTGCACACCAGCCTGGGCAACAGAGCAAGGCCTTGTCTCTAAAAGAAAAAAAAGTAGAGTGAGTGCTTGTATGTAGTTTGTTTTTGCCTTTAGTCTTACAGACTCCACTCAAAGGCACTTTTCTCCCTATCCCCTTCTTTTAGGTTATTTAATAGTTCATAATATAATTAGACTCTCTTTTTACAATCTATATTTCTTCCTATGATTTGCAAACCTCCTATGTAATTGCTGCTTCTTATTTTTTATTTTTTTCCTGGAGACCAGTTCTGTTACCTAGGTTGGAGTGCAGTGGCGTGATCACAGCTTACTTCAGCCTTATACTCCTGGGCTCAAGCAGTTCTCCCACCTCAGCCTCTTGAGTAGCTAGGACTACAGGCACATACTGCTATACTAGGCTGATTTTCTATTTTATTTTTGTAGAAACAGGGTTTGGCTATGTTGCCCAGGCTGGTCTCAAACTCCTGGCCTCAAGACATTCTTTTGCCTTGACTTCTCAAAGTGCTAGAACTATAGGCATGAGCCACCAGGTCTGGCTCATTATTACTTTTTGTAGGTTGCAATTGTTAAAATGAATTCGCCATGTAGTAAATTTCTATGGGTTTTGACGCATGCAAAAAGTCATGTATCAACCATTATAGTGTCATACAGAATAGTCTTACTGCCCCAAAAATTCCATATCCTTCACCTAATCAACCTTCCCTTGTCTTCCAAATCTTCTAGCAACCATTCATCATTTTACTGTCTTTGTAGTTTTGCCCTTTCCAGAATGTTATATAATTGGAATTATACAGTATGTAGCCTTTTTAAAACAACTTTTTACACCTAAAAATGCATAACAATATGTATTTAAGGTTCACCCATATCTTCATGTCCCTTAAAGGCTTATTTATTTTTATTGATGATTAATATTTCACAGAATGGATGTTTATTCACCTATTGCAATCCATCTTGGTTGCTTCCAGTTTGGGGAAATTATGAATTATGAATAAAGTCATTATAAACATTTTTATGTGGAATTTCATAAGGACATAAGATTTAAAATTATGGATAAGAGCTCAAGCACACATTGCTGAATGATATGCTAAGATTATGCTCAGTTTTATAAGAAATTGCCAAACTCTCCTCCAAAGTCGCTGTCACTGTAACATTTTGCATTAGTACCAGCAACAATTGCTTGATTTTTTTTCACCAGCATTTATATTATCAAGTTTTTGGATTTTAGCTATTCTAATAGTATGTAGAGCTATAGGTAGTTTTCCACATAAAGATATTCATATCAGTTTGCTAGAACTGCCATAAAGAAAGATAGGCCCGGCACGGTGGCTCACGCCTGTAATCCCAGCACTTTGGGAGACCGAGGCGGGCGGATCACGAGGTCAGGAGATCGAGATCATCCTGGCTAACACAGTGAAACCCCGTCTCTACTAAAAAATACAAAAATTAGCCAGGCGTGGTGGCGGGCACCTGTAGTCCCAGCTACTGGGAGGCTGAGGCAGGAGAATGGCGCTAACCCAGGAGGCGGAGCTTGCAGTGAGCCAAGATGGCGCCACTGCACTCCAGCCTGGGCTACAGAGTGAGACTCCGTCTCAAAAAAAAAAACAAACAAGAACCACAAACTGGATGGCTTAGACAACAGAATTTAATTAATTATCTCATAGTTCTGGAGGCTAGAAGTCTGAGATCAAGGTGCCAGCAGGGTTCTTTTTTCAGTGATGTTGGGGAAAATCTGCTCCGTGCCTTTCTTTAAGTTTCTAGGTGGTGTGCTGGCAACTTTGACTTCTCTGGCTTGTGTACATCACTCTAATCTCTTCCTTCATTTTCACATGATATTCTCTCTGTGTGCACGTCTGTGCCTAAAAGTCCGTTTTTAATAATAATATTGGTCATAAAGGATTAATACACACTCTAATTAACTCATCTGTGTAAATACCCTAACTTCAAATAAGGTCAAATTATAAAGACTTCAATATATGTTCTTTTTGTGGATATGTCCATTTATTCTTTAAGTTATATCAGATTTTGTCTTATGTATTTTGATGTAAGGAGTATGCATGATAAGGAGTGCTATGTCTTCCTGGAGAATTGACTCTTTTTATCATTATCTAATACTACTCTTATCCTTAATAATTTCCTTTGTTCTGAAGTTTGCTTTGTCTGAAATTACTATAGCTACTCCAGTTTTGTTTTATTTACCATTAGCATAGTATATCTCTTTATTTTTAACCTGTGTCTTTATACTTAACGTAGCTTTACTTTAGACAACACAATAGTTAACTCTTATTTTTTGTATCCAGTTAACAATATCTGTATTTTAATTGGTGTGTTTAGACCATTCACATACAAAATTATTATTGATATAGTTAGATTGATACCTACCATAACGGTTTTATTCATTACATTCTTTGTCTGCATTCTCTGGTTTTATTTCAACATTTTACATTATTTCATTTTGTTTCAATTACTCATTTTCATGAAAATGTTTCACTGGTTGCTTTGTTTCACTGGTTGCAATATACAGTAACAAGTAATATAAGTCCACTTTCCAGTAAGTCTTTTTGTTTCACTGGTTGCAATATACGGTAAAAAGTAATATAAGCCCACCCTCCAATAAGTCTTTTTACTTCTTTACATTTAGTGCAGGTACCTTATAACAAATTGTTGCCAGTTCCTCTTTTCTAACCTTTATAACATTGCTGTCATTCATATTCACTTATCCAAATGCTGCAAATCATCTAATGCATTGCTAGTATTATCACTTAAAAGCAGTTCTCTTTTAGATCAGTTAAGAAAAACAAAAGATTTTATATACCTTTATTTATTCCTTCTTGATGTTCTTCCTTTCTTTACATAGATCTGTATTTCTGGCCTATGTAAGTCTCATTTTCCCTGGAGAACATGTTCTATCATTTAGTTGCGGGCGGTTCTGCTGGCAACGAATTTACACCTTTTTTTTTTTTTTTTTTGAAGAAAGTCTCTATGTCTCCTTTACTTTTGAAGGATAATTTACTTGATAGAATTCTAAGTTGGTGTTTTTTGTTGTTGTTGTTGTTTTTGTTTTTTGTTTCTTTTTCCTTTCAACACTAAATGTTTCACTCCGCCCTCTTTGGAGGGCACAGTCTAAATTATAGATCTAATTTTATCTTTTACCAAATAACTATCCAGTTTTCCCAGAACCATTTATTAAAATGTTTATTTTTGCCGCAGGAATTTGAATTAACACCGTCATCATATACTTAATTTCCAAAGGCATTTGCATCTATTTTGAGGCCATACATTCTATTCTGCTGTTCTATATGTTTATCAATATACCAGTAAAATACTGACTTAATTATAGAGGCTTTAGAATGTATTTTAATGTCCGATAGGGCTTGTTCCCTTCTGTAGTTTTTCTTTTTCTGTATTTTGCTGCCTGTATTTTTGTTTGGTTTTTTGTATGAATTTTAGTATCAAATTGTTTAAAATCATAAAACACTTGTGACATTTTATTGAGGTTGTTTTTAATATATATATTAACATAGGGAGAACTGATATATATATATATTTTAATTTTTAATTTTTAATTTTATTATTATTATTATTTTAATTATTATACTTTAAGTTTTAGGGTACATGTGCACAACGTGCAGGTTTGTTACATATGTATATATGTGCCATGTTGCTGTGCTGCACCCATTAACTCGTCATTTAGCATTAGGTATATCTCCTAAAGTCTCACTCTGTCACCCTGGCCCGAGTGCAATGGCACTATCTCGGCTCACTGGAAGCTCCGCCTCCCAGGTTCACGCCATTCTCCTGCCTCAGCCTCCCGAGTAGCTGGGACTACATGCGCCCACCACCACGCCCGGCTAACTTTTTGTATTTTCAGTAGAGACGGGGTTTCACCATGTTACCCAGGATGGTCTCGATCTCCTGACCTCGTGATCCGCCCCCCTCGGCCTCCCAAAGTGCTGGGATTACAGGCGTGAGCCACTGTGCCTGGCCGGAGAACTGATATATATTTTCCTCCATTCAAAAAAGAGGTTTTTCCATTTATTCATCTAATTTTCAATTCTTGAGAATTTTTTTGTATATTTCTTATTAAGTTTATTTCTATTACTTCATTTTTGCTGTTATTGTAAATGGGATTTCCTTCTAACTTTATATTATGTAGCTTGTTATTTTTTGTGTATATGAAGGCTATTAATTTAAATATGTTAATTTGATATCCTGCTTACTTGCTGAATTTTATTGGTTTAGTTTTATCAAGGATTCTCTCATGTTTTTCACATATAATCTACAAATAGAGATCCTCTTACTTCTTTCTTATCAAAACTTATGCTTTTCATTTTTTTCTCTTCTATAACTGCAAAGCAAAATATTTTGTTCAGAAAATAGCATATATATTTGTCTTCTTCCTGATTTTTGCAGATATGCTGCACATTAAGTGAGATACTTACATTAATACTAAGGAACTATTGTATTTAAAAATGTTCCTTAATTTCCATTTTCTCTAGTATTGCTATCAAGAATGGCAGAAGGCTTTTTCATCATTTGTGGAGATAGCTTTATAAAATTTTACCTTAGCTCTACACTCACACTGTACTGATGGATTTCCTAATGTCGAATCACTGCATTATTGGAATAAGTTATAGTCGGTGAAGGTATACTATTTTCTTAATGTGGAGTTGAATTATGTTTGCTAACATTTTACTTAGTATTTTTACATCAATATTTATAGATGATATTAGCCTGAAGTTTATTTATTTATTTTTTTAACTTTTAAGAAGGGTACACGTGCAGGTTTGTTAACAAAGCTAAACTTGTGTCATACGGGTTTGTTTGTTGTACAGATTCTTTCATCACCCAGGTATTAAACTTAGTACCTATTGGTTATTTTTTCTAATTCTCTCCCACCTCCCACCGTCTACCCTCCGATAGGCTCCAATGTGTGTTATTCCCCTCTGTGTGTTCATGCATTCTCATCATTCAGCTGCCACTTAGGCGGTGAGAACATGCAGCATTTGGTTTTTCTGTTCCTGTGTTAGTTTGCCAAGGATAATGGCCTCCAGCTTCATCTATGGTCCTGCAAAGGACATGATCTCATTCTTTTTAATGGCTGCATAGTCTTCCATGGTATATATGTACCACATATTCTTTATACTTCTGTGTCTATGTCATACTTGTTTCATAAAATGATTAGAAAGTATTGCTTTATTTTCCATACTCTGAAACAATTCTGAGAATATTGGAACAACCAATTTGGGAAATTATTAGAATCCACAGTAAAAACCATCAGAGTTGGTCCTTTTGTGTGTGTATGTAGTAGTAACATAACAAATTTCTTTACTTATTCTATAAAATCTGTCTGTTTATGCTTCTTTTTTTAATGATGCCAGTATGACCTAGGAATTATTCATTTAATCTAAATTTTAAAATTTGTTTTCATAGAGACCTAAAAAGTTGTCTTTCATATTTAAGAATTTTTTTTTTTCTATTTCAACCGATAGCTCCCTGTTGTTATTTCTTTTCTGTATTGGGGTTTTCTATCTTTCTTTTGATGAGATTAGTTTATTATTTTTAATAAACAGAAATTTGATTTATTAATTAGGTCTACAGCTTTCATATTATATTTTATTTATTTCTTCATGTTTCCTTCTATATGGTTTCTTTGATTTACTGTGTTCCTCTCTATTTTTATTTTGAACCATGTGTTTATTTTATTCTTTTATTTCTACAGATAAAGCGTTTATTAGGATGAATTTTTCTTAGATAGCTGTTTAACTACATCTCAAATTCTTATATGTAGTGTTCCATATAAGATGGATGCTTTTTTATTTTCTGCATATATACTTATGAATATATTTTATGAATTTTGGCTTTTGGCATTAAATAGTAAACTTTTTGATCACATTTTGTACTTTTTGGTTTGAATTCTACTTTTCTGATATTAGAACACTACCACTGCTCTTTTATTGTTTCTGTCGGTCCATCATTTTTTTTTTTAGCCTTTCTGAGTCATTATTTTTATGAGTATTTAATGTACTGCACATGATTGGGTCATACTTCATTAGTCAAATTGAAAGATTGACCTTAAGATGGACGAAGTTGATCCTATTCACATTTATGGGTGCAATTGAAATGTTTACTCTGAACTCTGTTAAATTTTTAAGTGTATCCATTACGTGATAATTAGCTCTATTTCTTTCTTTAATGTATTTTTTCTTTTGAATTTATGGAAAAAATGGTATTTAGGAAGGTTTTTGTTTTTATAGTAATTTCCTTCGTACTTTATCTTCTTCAATCATCTTAGTCTTCTGTTGTCTTATACAATATCTACTGTCAGTTTTGTCAGTTTTATGGTATCCTTTAATGTGATCTAATCAATAAATTTATTCTATTTTTTTCTCCCTTCTCCATCTAGTTGCATTATTTCTAATTTGTGCAACATATGACATCTGTGCATTAGTCTTTTACTGTCATCTCCACCCCATCATTCCTTTTGCTGAAGTTTTTCTAGTCATGGCTTAGTTGAATTAGCTTATGCTCACAAAACATTGTTTCTGGGTGCGTTCGTGACAGTGTTTGTGGAAGACATTAGCCTTTGAATCAGTAGACTGAATATAGCAGATCCACCCTCACCAATGTGGGCAGGCATCATCCAATTTTTTGTGGGTCCAAACTACAAGAAGGCAGAGGAAAGGTGAATTTTCTGTCTACCTTCTTGAGCCGGGACATCAATTTCACCTGCCCTCAGACATTGAAGCTCCTAGTTTAGTTCTCAGGCTTTTGGACACAGACTGAATTATACCACCAGCTTTCCCAGTTCTCCAGCTTGCAGATGGCATACCATGGGAATTCTCAGTTTCCATAATCACGTTTTATATATATATATAAATTTATATTTTTATATGTCCTATTGGTTCTGTTTCTCTGTAGAATCCTGGCTAATACAATTATTGTAGCTCAAAAGCAGCCATAGACAACCCATAAATAAGTATTCATGACTGTGTTCCAACAAAATTTTATCTTCATAAGCAGATTAGATTACTGCTCTACTAGGCGGCTCAGAGTTCATGGATGGAGAGTTCGCTAAGCTCTTGTATGCCTGAAACTGATTTCTATAACCTTAACACTTGAAAGACAACTTGTAGTTGGTAATTCATACTATATTACATAGCCAGATGTAGTTTGTAATTCATACTATATTACATAGCCAGATATAGTTTGTAATTCATACTATATTCCATAGCTAGATGTAGTTTGTAATTCATACTATATTACATAGCCAGATGTAGTTTGTAATTCATTCTGTATTACATAGCTAGATGTAGTTTATAATTCATACTATATTTGAGTTTTTTGAAAATGTTACTCCATAAAATGTTCATACCAGGCTAATTATTTTGTCCTTGAAATTATTTGATTATGTCTCTTTGTGGCCATAAGAAATTTTTTTCTTCATCTTTTAAATGTAATAGTTTTACTATAATTGGCTTTGAAGTTGTTATTCTGGGCTAATTATCCCAGGTGTCTCATAGATCCTTTAAATGTGTACATTCAGGTTTTCTTTTATTTCTAGGAATATTTCTAAGATTGTAGTTTTGGTTATGTTATATTCCATTGTTTTTTTTATCTTCTTAAGGAATACTGATCATAAAAGTATTTTTTCTTATTTTCTACCATTTCTTTCAAAAGCATTTCACTTATTCTTCTTTTTTAAAAAAATTTCTTTTATTTATTTTTACTTTTTATTATACTTTAAGTTCTAGGGTACATGTGCACAATATGCAGGTTTGTTACATATGTATACATGTGCCATGTTGGTGTGCTGCACCCATTAACTCGTCATTTAGCATTAGGTATATCTCCTAATGCTCTCTCCCCGCCTCCCCCCACCCCACGACAGGCCCTGGTGTGATGTTCCCCATCCTGTGTCCAAGTGTTCTCATTGCTCAATTCCCACCTATTCCCACCTATGAGTGAGAACATGCAGTGTTTGGTTTTCTGTCCTTGTGATAGTTTGCTCAGAATGATGGTTTCTAGCTTCATCCATGTCCCTACAAAGGACATGAACTCATCCTTTTTTATGGCTGCATAGTATTCCATGGTGTATATGTGCCACATTTTCTTAATCCAGTCTATCATTGATGGACATTTGGGTTGGTTCCAAGTCTTTGCTATTGTGAACAGTGCTGCAATAAACATATGTGTGCATGTGTCTTTATAGCAGCATGATTTATAATCTTTTGGGTAAATGCCCAGTAATGGGATGGCTGGGTCAAAGTTATTTCTAGTTCTAGAACCCTGAGGAATCACCACACTGTCTTTGGCAATGGTCGAACTAGTTTACAGTCCCACCAACAGTGTAAAAGTGTTCCTATTTCTCCACATCCTCTCCAGCACCTGTTGTTTCCTGACTTTTTAATGATCACCCTTCTAAATGGTGTGAGATGGTATCTCATTTTGGTTTTGATTTGCATTTCTCTGATGGCCAGTGATGATAAGCATTTTTTATGTGTCTGTTGGCTGCATAAATGTCTTCTTTTGAGAAGTGTCTGTTCATATCCTTTGCCCACTTTTTGATGGGGTTGTTTGATTTTTTTCTTGTAAATTTGTTTAAGTTATTTGTAGATTCTGGATATTAGCCCTATGTCAGATGGGTAGATTGTAAAAATTTTCTCCCATTCTGTAGGTTGCCTGTTCACTCTGATGGTAGTTTCTTTTGCTATGCAGAAGCTTTTTAGTTTAATTAAATCCCATTTGCCAATTTTGGCTTTTGTTGCCATTGCTTTTGGTGTTTTAGTCATGAAGTCCTTGGCCATACCTATGGCCTGAATGGTATTGCCTAGGTTTTCTTCTAGGGTTTTTATGGTTTTGGGCCTAACGTTTAAGTCTTTAATCTATCTTGAATTAATTTTTGTATAAGGTGTAAGGAAGGGATCCAGTTTCAGCTTTCTACATGTGGCTAGCCAGTTTTCCCAGCACCATTTATTAAATAGGGAATCCTTTCCCCATTTCTTGTTTTTGTCAGGTTTGTCAAATATCAGATGGTTGTAGATGTGTGGTGTTATTTCTGAGGCCTCTGTTCTGTTTCCTTGGTCTACATCTCTGTTTTGGTACCAGTACCATGCTGTTTTGATTACTGTAGCTTTGTAGTATAGTTCGAAGTCAGGTAGTGTGATGCCTCCTGCTTTGTTCTTTTTGCTTAGGATGTGAGTCAATTAAACCTCTTTCCTTTATAAATTACCCAGCCTTGGGTATGTCTTTATTAGCAGTGTGAGAATAGACTAATACACCATAGAATATATCTTCAAAACAGTTTAAAATATGGGTCTCTGAAATGGACATATTACTTAGGTTAAAGATTATTCTGCACTGGAAACTGCAAATTTATTACTGAATATATTTCCCATTCCAAGTTAAGTATGGTCATGCTTTTAACATATCACATTATGGTTCTTCAGCAAAACCAATTAACAGTATAAAGACAATCTAGTAATAAAGTGCCACTGACAGAAGGGCCAAAAAATGATTACAAACTTCCTTTCTCCAATTATAAAGTTTCACTGGAAATACTAAACTCAAAATACTGAATTTCCTTGCAAACTAAAGTCCAGTGTAACTAAAATCTAAAATCACACTAACTCACCCTTTGAGTATAAAACATCTATAAATCCTTACAATTGATTATCCTTCTCACTCTTAGCAAGAGGGGCTCTTAATGGATGGATGGAGTTCAAGTTTCTTCAGAAGCTACAGCCTGGGCTGCCTTTCATGGAAATGGATGAGATTCCTTGCCGTCTTGAGGAGAATTAGTTCAATGCCAAATTTCTAATGTGCTTCACTTTTGCAGAATCCAACACATTTATAGAACATACGAGATTATCACAGCATTGAAATCACCATCACCAAATTTAGGAAACAATTAACATATGTCCCCTAAAGCAATTAACCCCAACAAAGTGATATTCCCAGAAACCAATGCTTTGCATTGCCAAGGGTGATAGCACTAACTCAGTGGTGTCTAATGAAGGAGTCTGACTTGAGTTTCAGCTTCAATAGGTTTCCAGAGTCCACTCATTGAGATATTAAATTCAATCAGGAGAAAGGTAACAAGTGGTTTATTTACCCAATGTATAGGGAAAATCAACCTATATATCTTGTCTTTGGTAATTGAGACATTACTTAATATCTGCAGTGTTTAGAAATGTGCATTATTGACATTCCCTGTCATCAGGTCTTACTTGAGGTATCTTTCTTTCTTATTCATTATATTCAGAACTCTTGCTGACTTGAGTGTGGCATGTAGCTAGTGACAAAAGGTGTTTTCATTCCTCTGTTGGTAGCACACCTTGTTGTGTTCACCCTAGTAGATGATGGTTTCCCTTTCATCCCCACATGTTTCAGCAGGATCTTCAATTTAGGAAGATTTCTGCAGTGAGGCAGTAGTTGATGCTTCTGAAGCCAGTGTCCCTAAATGCACATGAGGACCAAAAGCACTCTTGTGCTCCTTTGCTTACCTTGGCTTCCAAATATCCCAGCCTTTGCATTCCTTCTGCATCTTTTTCTGTTGTATTGAGATATGCTTCTAGTAAATTGTTAACCAGTGTCCTTAATAATTTATTTTTAATTGAAAAAAGAAGTATACATTTATGGTGTACAATATGATATTTTGATATGTGCATACATTGCAGAATGGCTAAATAAAGCTAATTAACACATACATTACCTTATCACATTTTTGTGTCTTGTGAGAACAACTAAAATCTGTGGTGTTAGCAATTTTCAAGGATATAGTACATTGTTAATTATAATCACCATGTTGTACAATAGATCTCCTGAACTTCATCCTTCTATCTAACTAAAATTGTGTGTCCTTTGACCAACATTTCCCCAATGTCCCAGCTCCTGCCCCAGTCCCTGGATCACCATTCTATTATCTACTTCTATGAGTTTGATGTTTTTAGAATACACATGCATTGTTTTTCCTTCTGTGTCTGGTTTATTTCACTTAGCATAATGTCCTCTGGGTTCATCCATGTTGTAAATGACAGGATTTTCTTCTTTTTTAATGCTGAATAATATTCTATTTTGTCTATATACCATATTTTCTTTATCCTTTCTTCCATTAATGGGCACTTAGGTTGACTCTGTGTCTTGGTTATTCTGAATAATGCTGCAATGAATATAGAAATGCAAATATCAATTTGACATACTGATTTTATTTCTTTCAGACCTATGCCAAGAAATGAAATTGCTGGATCATCTGGTACTTCTATTTTTGATTTTTGAGGAATTTCCATAATGTTTTTCATAATGGCTATACTAATTTACATTCTCACCAACAGCGTGCGAGGGTTTTCTTTCCTCCACATCCTCTCTAACAATTATTTCTTGGCTTTTTGAGATTAGCCATCCTAGTAGG
This sequence comes from Homo sapiens, assembly GCF_000001405.40. NCBI lineage: Eukaryota > Metazoa > Chordata > Mammalia > Primates > Hominidae > Homo > Homo sapiens. Next base: position 95,901,871 of record NC_000006.12, read on the forward strand.
TGTGAGTTGATATTTCATTGTAGTTTTAATTTGTATTTCTCTGACTTAGTGATGTTGAGCATTTTTTCATATAACTATTGGACATTTAATCTGCTTAAAGATTTTCTTACGTTTACAACGATGGAATAAATATGGTTCGCTGATATAAGCTCTTTCCATTTTTCTCCTTTGCATCTTAGCAAGATGTTTGCTTCTTAAGGCATATCTAGATTTTAAATTATCGATTCTCTAAAGGTAAGAAATAGGAAGTCATTGAGCTCTGGGCCATCCAAAAAGCATACATTGTTCAAACAAATATCATCCATCTATACTTTATTTAATTGATTAATAAATAAATCCACTCAGTAGATGGACTCTGATCAAACCAACATCTCAACCAGCTAGATTTTGCCCTATTATTGTACCCCAGGTTCCCTCTTAACATGACTTATATTTGCTATGTTTTTTCAGAGTTTAAATATGGTAAATTTCTCAAATAGTAGTAGTGCTCTCCAAATATCTATAATACCTTGAAACACACCCAGTAATTCATTACATATTTTATTCTGATCTTCCTCAACTCTTCGGCTCATGTCTTTTGAAATTTAATTTAACCATATTATTTAGCTGTTCTAATTTCTAAGTGACAGCATTTATACAGCTCTTATTAGGGACTGTCACAGTCTTTTGAGAGTATCATTCCAGTACACTCTCTGTATCCATACCTCTTTCTCCTTCAGATGTTACTGGACACCAAGGACTATTTCTGAGCTAATAACCACTCTCCTGAAAATCCGTTTAGCACAAACCTGGGTAGATACTGTTTTCCTTTTTATTTCAGACTCTCCAGTCCTTTAAATTTTAATTTTACCATTTTTATCAGACTATAATAAAAAGAAACCTATGTTTTCCCAATTTAATCAGTCTACCAAACTTTATTCTGTTTTCATTCTTCTATTGTTGCTGTTCTGATGGCAAACATGTTTTCAAACCCACTCCAGGTTTTCCTTACTTTTCTGGATAATCTTGATTTCAGGAGACAGTGCATTTCCTGTGCAAGCCTTGTTAACCGTTTCTTTAACCTTAAGCTTTGTGATCATTGAAGTGTGTTGAGGAGTTACATACTTTTTTCACAATACAGGGCCTCATTCTTCTAATGCTGACTTCCAGAGTAAAATCTATCCTTCTTTTAAGCTATAGGTTGCATTTTTGAAATGTTCAACGTTTTTATAATTAACAAATCTAAAATCAACTTAATGGCTTGTGGTAGCAAGTGACATTTGAAACTATGGAGAAAATATAAGAATTAAAGGACTTCATGTCTAAAACACCAAAAGCAATGGCAACAAAAGCCAAAATTGACAAATGGAATCTAATTAAACTAAAGAGCTTCTGCACAGCAAAAGAAACTACCATCAGAGTGAACAGGCAACCTACAAAATGGGAGACAATTTTCCCAACCTACTCATCTGACAAAGGGCTAATATTCAGAATCTACAATGAACTCAAACAAATTTACAAGAAAAAAACAAACAACCCCATCAAAAAGTGGGCGAAGGACATGAACAGACACTTCTCAAAAGAAGACATTTATGCAGCCAAAAAACACATGAAAAAATGCTCACCATCACTGACCATCAGAGAAATGCAAATCAAAACCACAATGAGATACCATCTCACACCAGTTAGAATGGCAATCATTAAAAAGTCAGGAAACAACAGGTGCTGGAGAGGATGTGGAGAAATAGGAACACTTTTACACTGTTGGTGGGACTGTAAACTAGTTCGACCATTGTGGAACTCAGTGTGGCAATTCCTCAGGGATCTAGAACTAGAAATACCATTTGACCCAGCCATCCCATTACTGGGTATATACTCAAAGGACTATAAATCATGCTGCTATAAAGACACATGCACACGTATGTTTATTGCGGCACTATTCTCAATAGCAAAGACTTTGAACCAACCCAAATGTCCAACAATGATAGACTAGATTAAGAAAATGTGGCACATATACACCATGGAATACTATGCAGCCATAAAAAATGATGAGTTCATGTCCTTTGTAGGGACATGGATGAAATTGGAAATCATCATTCTCAGTAAACTATCGCAAGAACAAAAAACCAAACACTGCATATTCTCACTCGTAGGTGGGAATTGAACAATGAGAACACATGGACACAGGAAGGGGAACATCACACTCTGGGGACTGTTGTGGGGTGGGGGGAGGGGGAGGGATAGCTTTAGGAGGTATACCTAATGCTAAATGACGAGTTAATGGGTGCAGCACACCAACATGGCACATGTATACATATGTAACTAACCTGCACACTGTGCACATGTACCCTAAAACTTAAAGTATAATAATAATAAAATAAAATAAAATAAAGAATTAGACCCTGAAGACAGTTAAGAAAAAAGTAAAACAGGAAAAAGATTTGGAGCAACTAATACAAAGTGCCTGCTGACAGAATAGCCTGCACTTTGATGAGGTCAGTGTCTTTGCTTACGGCTATGGTATATTAATTAAGCAAAACAGCTATATACTGCAGAGCCTCAACAGGATCAAAATTCCACATGTCCTACCTTTAGAAAATATTGCCAAGGACTAAATTCCACTGCCCTGGCCATGCAATAAGCTTTTGATTCCCTATATTTTAATGTACTCCCAAGTCCACTTCTTGTCCATCTTTCAAAAGTTCAGCCTATACATTAGATTTCTGAATTCAAAGTGGCCAATATATATCAGGTGTCTTTCATACCTGAGTTTTGAACAAATTGATAAATCAAATACATAAATGAATAAACGGGAGATCAAAATATCACTTTTATTTATAAAATATAGGTTAAAAGATGCAGCTTATAACTGCCGGAATAAAACTTTTTAATCCTGACTGCCAGAATAAGGTATGTGTCTGCCTGTCACAGGAGGCAGTGGAAAACATAGCCCTCTCTTTCAGGGGCAGTTTCCTTTGATATTCCAGCATGAAGCAGCAGAACTTGCATATAGAACTGTGTTTGTTTGGCCCATTAAGAAAAAAAAAAAAAGAGGTTAGCAAAGAGGTATACATGTCTGGATTCTAATTCTAATTTGCTATCCACCATAAGCTTCAGTGACACAAAGAGAAAATTCCAGAAGACCTAAGACTTGAAGTTAAATTCAGCCACACACCTAGTAATGCAGTCACACTGTACAACACAGGCCATAGCAAACTGCCAAGGTCAAATGCCTGTGATAGAGCGATGTCCCAATGCTTAAAGCTGCATGTCCTGACTGCCAGAATCCTCATCTGCACAGGTTATCTTTCCTCTGCAAAATTGCACTTCCTGCTGTCTCCCCATGCACTAGATATTGATATTTGAGGAGGATACATAAGATTCCTTCTTCCTACCTCACCCCTTTATGTTCTTAAGAAATTGAAAGATAAAACAAAAGATAAAGGTCGATGGAAAGCAGCTGTCACCCTTATTGCTGACGAGGATGATTTTGAAGGTTGGGTTGGGGAGAACACTGACAGTCTCCATGATATTGAAATCCACAATGAGGTCAGCATATCATCTCAAACTCACCCTGATGAACACAGAGGGAAAACCCCTAGCCCCACACTGCTCAAAGGAGTAAGGAACAAATGTTCTCCTGGTCGGCCAGTTTCTAAAGGAATTGGAAGGAACTGAGCTGACCATGTACCATTTATTCTGCCCACAATTATCAATCAAATTATCCCTGCTTGCCTAGAGGGATAAAGGGGAAAGGAAGATACAAATTCTTAGAAATACTTCTCATGAAAGCAGGATCAGACATGATACATTCACTGACCATGAGTTTATTTTATTTAAAATTTCAAATTTATTAGCATAAATTCTATCATATTATTGTATTATAAAAGTATCCAGAAACAAATACTGTTTATCTAGTGATATAAAACAATTTGTTGAGCAAAAGGGCACTAAAGACAGACTCTATGCATTCAAATTTCTGGCTCATTGTGGGAGCTTGGCCAGTTGTGTGACTTTGGGCAACTATAAATTGAGAACAGTGATACTCTCTACTCTGTAAGTTGTTGCAGATTAAATCAGTTAATACATGTGAAATATAAGCTGTTATTATTATCTGTGCATTTTCTCTTAGTGTATTTATTTTTGTTGTTTTTATTAAATTTTCCAAAACTTTATTTGATCAGTCTTTTTCATAGACCTTTGTTATTTTCATTTATTGTTTTATTCTGCCTCTTATTATTTACTTCTTTTATGTGTTTTTTTCTGCATATATTTCATAAGTTTATGTTGAATTATGATGTCAGTAATTTTCTATCTTTCAAACATTTTTATTTTAAATATCTGCATTTAAGGTTATAAATTTCCCTTCAAATTACTATTTGGATTTATTCTTAAGTTTTTAATATATCATATTGTCATTGCTATTTATTTTTTAGCTTCTTAAATTCTACTGTACTTTTTGACTCCTGGATTTCTTAGAAATATTATCTTTAATTTCTAAATATATGAAATTATTTTATCTTTTGATTTCTCAGCCTTTTAAACTCATTTCCAATTTTGCTATTGAGCTCTGGGATGAAGATTCCATTCACATTGTGTTCCGTGTATTGTATTCTGTAAGACCAAATATTCAATTCAAAAAAAATTATTTTTTTCCATTGTAGGTATTTTTATCTATCAATATAGTTGGCACCTAATTAGGAAATTTATGAATAAATCTCTAAACACATAAAATTGTTTATGAGCATATTTAAAAACATACATTCGATTGAATTTTCTAACATCTGTTTTAAAGTGAAAGCAAAATACAGCATTTGCTATATACAGATAATAGGGCTATTTCAAATTGCTGTTTGTGAATTTCTATTTATTTCTTAAAACTTTATATTAAAGCACTTAATAAAAATGATATATTTAATAAATATTGATTATAAAGAAATTTGAAAACCAATGAGTATATGAAAAAGTGAAATTAATTTTGGTTCTCATGAAAAATATGTAAATATGTCACACAAACATGGGAAATTTAGAACTTTCACGTTTATTATAATAGAAGTCTAAAATCTTTAAAACTTTATTTTTCCTTTTATAAAATAGGAATAAACTCACTTTCATCAAAGTAGATGCAGGTACATAGATTATAAAATCACTGTTGATGAATACGGCTGAAATACAAATCTCTTGTATAATAATTTTTAAGAATTTATGTTCTTAATTCAAGTTTTTTGAATAATGGGATATAATATGATTTCACAAACGCATAATGGGAAACATATTGCTCCAGAAATCTTTACATCATTTCAAGAATATTATTTTCTAAAAGAAATTCCCTCACGGTTGAATATTCATGAGAATTCCTGACTATGACACAAGCACTTTTGTCAAAATATTATATTGAGGGTTAATTTAGCAGAAAAACAAAATAAAGCATTTCACATATGTAAACTGCATATAGAAACTCACAGTGCCTTTGAAACTCAATCTGTGAAACCCACTCATGTAGTCTGTCTCGTTTCTTGGTTTTATTTTATTTTTTAAGTGGTACATGAGACCTGGCGGAACATTTCCTTCTGCATATCCAGTTTTCCTGGGATCCACTGCATGTGTTGAGTTTTGCAAACGGCCCTATTGTTCCTTTCATCAGTGCTTCAGTTTGACTTTTTTTTTTTTTTTTTTTTTTTTTTTTTGAGACGGAGTCTCACTCTGTCACCCAGGCAGGAGTGCAGTGGCGCTGTCTCCGCTCATTGCAAGCTCCGCCTCCGGGGTTCATGCCATTCTCCTGCCTCAGCCTCCCCGGTAGCTGGGACTACAGGCGCCCGCCACCACACCCGGCTAGTTTTTTTTTGTATTTTTAATACAGACGGGTTTTCACCGTGTTAGCCAGAATGGTCTCGATCTCCTGACCTCGTGATCCACCCACCTCCTCGGCTTCCCGAAGTGCTGGGATTACAGGCGTAAGCCACCGCACCCAGCTCAGTTTGACCTTTTTTTAAATCATATTTGTCCATGAAGATTCTCAACTCCAAGTAGATCCCTAGTTATTTACTTTGTAATCTGGTTACTTCCTATCTCCTAAAAGTCAATTTAAGACTTTTTTTCCCAATCTCCTTTGATATTACCAAAGTTATAATTTCTGATTGTTGTCATCTTACGTGTTATCTCTAGTGATCTCTTTGTCAAGGGTAAGACATAATTTGTGGCCCCATTCAGCATTCTGTGACCTACATATAGGTCTTCAAAAAGGTCCATCTCTATTATTTATTCTCATAATGCCGTCTTGTACCATTAGTATAAAGGGAAATGAGTGTCTTTCTTTCTTATGTGCATGACCCAACATCCATATTATGTTACCCAAAGGAAAATGGCTAAAGATAGGTCACTCCACTATTTTTTTAAAAGCAGCATTCTCCTATGGAAAGCAGCAGAAATTCTGGAGGTAAAGAATGAGTACTGATTTTACAATCCTATCATGTCTTTACCTCTACTCACTGTGAAACTTTCAATGCCTCAGAATGCGCATTTGTAAAGTGAAGGTAATGCATTCTTCTATTAGAGCAGCACTTATTCAGAAAAGCAATAAGCACTGTAGATATTCACACAGGACAGGCTTTAATTTAAGAATCTGTGTACTTACAAAACTAATACAATGGCTGGATCTCAGGTACACTGCTGGTCTACAGAGAATCTGAATGTTACTATTGCCACTGAGGTCAGGAACTGCACAAAAATGTCAGTGATGGTGGTAGGTGCCTAAAATACAAAAGAAGCTGATTCTCACAAAAAGCCCTGGTCCGTGTATCTTTTCACTCTTAATAAAGAGAACGATGGATTTTCCTTATCTTCTCAGGTCCATTCATCTGTTAGAGAATATTTGAGTCATTTCCAGTTTTTTGGCAATTAGGAGGCAAGCTGCTATAAATATTCAAGTATAGGTTTTCATGAAGATGTAAGTTTTCATTACTTGAGAGTAACTACTCAGTGGTGGGATTGCTGGGTCATTAAGTAAGTGTATATTTAGCTTTATAAAAAGTTACTTTTCAAGTTGTACCATTCTGTATTTCCACTAGCAATGTATGAGAGCTCCAAGAGCTTCATACCCTCGTCAGTATACTAGTATTGCTAATATTTTTTTTAATTTAACCACTCTAATAAGTGTATAGTGGTATCAGTTTTTTTCATCATATAACTCCGAATAATTCATAGTATATTATCTCTGCATTTTTAACTTACAATGCTTTACAAAGATGGCTTTCTTCTTAAAATATAATTATTTGCTATAGTCCATACATCTAAATATGTTATAAAATCACATTAACTTCTATTTTTGGAACTGAAGGGAGAAGGCAGCTAAGATAACTGTAAATATCAAATGGCATGGAAATGACTTTATCAACTTTTAGGAAATAATCAGAATTTACTCCCACAAGGTTTTCTTGAAATTAAGTTTACTTTGAGATTGAATATATACGCACATTTTTCGGTTACAAAGAATAAACTAACAAACACCAAATATCATCCAAGTTTGTAATGACATGTCACCATGTATCATGGGTTGAGTTACAAAACAATGAAATTTAAATGTTCAAAATCATATTAGATTTATATTCCTTTGCGTTTTAATCCAGACATTGAACATTCTATAGAGATAACCTTACAGATAAGTATATAATTTGATACTAGTAAATAGTTCTAAAGTGTATCTTTCTTTGCCTCCAAAAGGGCCATTTAAAAGTAGTCATTCAGAACCAAAAAATCTAAATTGAAATTAGGTGATGGATGCATTCAGGAAGCCACAGATCTTAATAACTTTATTGTAATACTAAGACATATTGTGCAAAGGAGATGGATGTATTGGAACTTCAAATTGGTTGCAAAAATGTATTGATGCGAAATGCTGGCAAAGGCCTCATCTGGTAAGGCTTCACATGTGTAAAAAGATAAAAATGTGATTTGAAAAGGGATGAAGTGAAGGGCAATCAATACCCATTTTTTGTTCTGGGTTTTGAGAGACATCCAGAAATAATGTGGTGCTAAAATCCTCAATTGTTTTTAGGCCACTGAAAAAGATGTCAGATTAATATTTAACTTGATCAGAGTTCCAGTCTGGGTACTTTAATATATTTATTAAGTGGAAATTTAAATAAGCTCAAAGACATGTAGACATTTTTCAAGTATTAAAAACTAGCACTAAAATGATTGCTACTCTGGGAACACAGTTCTCTCTTTTGGGTGTCAACCGAAAGAAATTTAGCTAAAAATTAAGGTAATAAGACTTGAAACCTGCATTGGATTCAGATTGTTAAGAAAATCTTTTATGACAGCATAGCAGAAGTGTGTGGGGGGAGCAGTATGAAAGTGGTTAAGCACAAAGCCTTAGGGGACAGACACATTGGTCAAAATTCTGGCCATGTAATCTCTCATAGCCTGAAGCCTATCATGTGAAATGAAAAGTACTTCAATTTATAAGACTAAGATAAGGATCAAAAGAAAGAATTGATATGAACTTCTTAGTTTATGTTAAGTGCTCATGCAATATTAGCCGTTTCTATGTTGACATTTATTCTCACAGACATTGGGATTTTTATGGCACAGAGACAGTAAACAAGGATGGATATTTTCCAGTTGCTATTATTTCTTTACTGTCAGGATTATTGGAGGATTCAAATAAAAATATAAAACATATACGATGCAACCTGGTGAGCATATGTTATGCCAGCATGCATATTCACAGAATACTATCCTGATGCAAATTATAAGGCATCACATGATCAAGATAAGTTAACATGAATCAGTAACATCTATCACCTGAATTTCTTGTTCTAGTATGTTTACTTTGTTTTCATTTTGACAGTTTCATTACATTAGAAACTAAGACCTTTGAAGTTTGAGATTAGGTCTTATCCTCCATATTGTTGACAGTGTTTGAAATTAGTTTCTCTTTATTTTTTTTCTCATTAAGTGTCTATCAAGTTTCAACTCCCCAAACATCCTATTGTGTCTATTTCTGGTTTTAGGTACAAGTGATATTTTGTTTGTCCATAAAGTTAACAAAATTGTAATACATTAAAAAGATTCTTAATGTATACAGAAAATAGGTATTAAACAAGTAGAAAAAAAGTAACATGAAGATATCTTAACAAAGATTGCATGCCAGGCTTTTTATCAGCTCATATTAAAGATCCTTGTATACTACATTAATTTATATGCTTATCTTACCAAAAGCAGTGCTCCAAATATATATTTTGCCATTATTTTTAATGGCAAAAACCGCAGTTACTGTTGCACCAACCTAATAGAACAAGCATTGTTTACTAACAGAAAAATATTTCAGTGCTCAAAGATCAAATTTATATGAATAAATTGTAGAAGGTTAGTTGAAAACTTCAGACTCATGATGTTTAAGCTATTTCTGTTTAAAATGAGCTACAGTTAATAATCTTAACTAATTGGTAATTACCTCTAAGATTAATTATATTTTAAGGACATTTGGCAACATGTTAATGATTTTGTACTAAGAGGAGGGTCTTGATCCATGGTGCTTGCTGAGGGAGCACCTTATCTGGGTCTACTCACTCCATGGAATGCAAAAGAAGCAACAGAGAACAGCACTGGGTACCAATCCTTGAGCACAGTAATCCTACCCACTTACAACCACGCTTCCATCAGTATCTGGAATTCTGAAAAATCAAATGAAGAATATGTCTTTTCTTTAAAGTGATTTAGGAAAGAAATGTGGAAGCTTACTGGAGGCAAGAGGAAAGAAAGGCTATTTCTTCTTCACTGAACAATATCAGCATTCTTTTGTTCTTTCTGAATTAAGGATAATTTCTTCCTTCTCTCTATATATTTTTAATGAACTCAAAAGAAACCAGGTTTTTTTCTCAAAAGAAATTAAGTACTTACATTTTTAAAAAGGCATATACAGTGTATTAGTTCATTTTCACGCTGCTAATGAAGACATACCTGAGATTGGGCAATTTACAAAAGAAAGAGGTTTATTAGACTTTCAATTCCACATGGCTGGGGAGGCCTCACAGTCATGGCAGAAGGTGAAAGGCATGTCTCACATGGTGGCAGACAAGAGAAGAGAGCTTGTGCAGAAAAACTTCCCCTTTTAAAACCACCAGATCTCATGAGGCTTATTCACTATCATGAGAACAGCTTGGGAAAGACCCACCCCTATAATTCAATCATCTCTCACTGAGTCCCTCCTACAACACATGGGAATTATGGGAGCTACAAGATGAGATTTGGGTGGAGACACAGAGCCAAACCATATCATACTGCAACCCAAACTCTTAATGTGTTTGGTGCTTCTCGAACTGAAAGGACGTAAGCCGGCCTGGCCTGGCTCAGCCAGTTCTGAGACTCCTGAACCATGCTGTAGGATAAAAAAAGGTATCAAAATGATACAGACCTTTGCTGTAACAGAAATTTTGAGGGAGACTTAGGTGTTTCCTATGTAAAATAACTCTTACCATAATGGGATAGTAAAATAATGTTGAGATTTATGATATGACAGCATACGGTTCCAATTAATTTAGTCTGAAAGTCCTTGATATAGTCTATCATTAATGTGTAAATCTTTCTATTGATCTTAGAATCTTCCTATTTCTTACAAAAGTCTCACACTTGAAAATTTAGTTGTCCCAGATGAGGAAAGGGCTAAGGAGGACTCACACTTACGAATTCTGCATCGTTATGTCACTAAAATCCCATTCACTCAGTGAGTTCTTGCATATGCTATTGACACTAAATGTTATCTTGTCATTCTGATTCATCAGTTTATCATAAACCAAAACTTAGTATGTACCTAGAGAGGGTGAAGGACTCAGAAGGCTGAAAATAGAGCACTGGAAGACTGAGAAAACAGGAAAAACATTACTTTCTCTTGAACAAGTTTTAAAGAAAGAAATAAACAATAAAGTAACTACTAATAAAAGAAATTGGGTTTCTTTAAATTTGGCAATTGGAAAAATATCTATGACATGAAAAAATTTAAAAATTGAAATGTAAAATATACGCATTAGTGACACAGGGATAGGGGCAAAGACAAGAAGAGACACTGTGTTGGCTGAGATGGAACTAAAAGAAATTTCTCATCTATTCCAATGAGTCAATGTGTGCCGCACAGCTTGTGTTCTGTATGTGAGAGATGGGAGTGAGCTACTCATGTAGTGCAAAGCAGCCAGGTGTTGTCTTTTAGGGCACAGAAGTCTATGCATGCAGTGAAATTTCAGAAAAATTACAACAGCCTATAGCTTGAACAGAGAAGCAAGAGTACCAGAGTACCTGAATGTAAGAGTACCCAAATGCAAAAATCCAGCCTGATTCAAGAGTAACTTAATGCAAAATCCAACCTGCAGTAGTTTGTCAGTGGTTAAAGACGAAATTAGCACATTTTAAAGATTGAGGTCATTTAGAAATCCTCAAAATCTGTATAGTCCATCCTTATAAGTGCAATGATTGATATAGTATAGGGTATTTCTCCCCATTAACATTAAATACGCTAAATACAACTGTAATGTATGCAAGTAATCAATCAGTCAGTAATAGAGACATTTAGTCTATTACAGAAACATTGATAGTGTAAAAAGCAAGTTTAGTTTCATTAAAAAATAGATTTAATAAGTACTAATGAAGTTAATAAATTTTTCTTTGATTCCATTTACTCTGACAATTGCTTGAAGTATACTAAAGACTGTTCACATATTGATATATATATATGTATATAAAACAAACAGGTTAATAATTTTATGGAAAAAGTTATTATAAGTGCTATAGAGATCTTATAATCTTGCAGATTATATACCTTTAACTAAAATCAAATTCTGAATAGTCACTTATATTTACAACTTGAATTCTAAAAAAAAAAATGAGATATTGTTAGAGAAGGGCAAATGTTGCCATTAAGAGCAATTACACTACTATATTGCATTTAATATATGTCTACAATTCTTTTTTCTCTTTACTTTTAATGTGCCTTATGAAGAATAAGAAAAATCAAGTTCATTAATAAAGGAAGTAAAATAATCTCTTTCTCTCAACTCTGCTTTTTTAATTGTTTGGGAAATGACTTGAGTCACTCTGGGTAAATCCTCAAAATTAGCATTCTTAGGACCTTCTTGACATTTGGCTAATAGGTTACAAATTCTTTACAAGAATTAAAGATTTCTTTAATACTTCTCTCACAAGATCATTTCAAGAGTCTAGGTATTTTGTGATAAGTGTGATATGTTGGAAATAATTTATTACTAAGAGTAGTTAAGTTTTTATTCGTGCAAGAATGTTTTTCTACATTAGTGTTAATTCAAAGATATTTCCATATACCATCATTCCAACTTTCCTTCTAATATAATGGAACAATTTCCTGAGGCTAGAAAGCTACAGCTAGATCCTTTAGGGAGATATTTCAGAATCACAGTGAAAAAGACTGTCCCAGAAGTTTACAGTTAAGAAAAAGAAAAGTGATAAATTAATAAATCACATATATCCTTCTGCCCACTCCTATACACATTAGTCAAGAATTAACTGACTTAAATTTCCTCTACTCTGTACTCACATATTCTTCAGAATACCAGAATCTGAGAATAGTCTCAGATTTTTCCCAATATTTTGAAAGTTTTCAGGTGAGACTATCTCACAGTGTTCATGAAGCAATATTATGTGTTCTTTGACCCAGGACTTTCTGCTAGGCTATGGTGACAACTGGCTCATGTCTAAGTAATTACAGTGGCATTATTAAGCCACAGATCACTTTACCAAATGCCCAGTGCTACTGATTCTTATGACAAATGTATGCCCTGAGGCTCTTGGTTCAGCCATTGCCTGCACATGCATGTCCATCTAACTACTGTATTCTTTTTGGTTTCTTCTCCATTCCAAATCATCTCCTGCTTAGGATGATCTATGCTTTTGTGTCTACTTCCAGGATTACAAATCAGGATTTCTTTAGGTTTTAAGTGTGTTATATAGAAATAACTTATTTCAGTGTTTGTTAAGCCACCAAACTGGCTTAAAATTTATCAGTGATTTAACATTGAATTTAGAATACAATTTTCATTTGGTTATCTTTATTATTGATAGCATTACCCCTGACTGCATCTCTAGCTGGATCTCATACTACACTTCCCCCTGCATTAATATGTTTCAGGCACATCAACCTTCCAAAGTATAAGTACCTCACTCACTCCTACTTCAAAACCTTTGCTCATGTGATTCTCTTTGCCTATGATACTCTTATCCCTATCACCTGGCCGCTTCCTAGTCATCATTCAAGCCTAGATTTAATGTCACTTCACCTCTTTAAAAACCACTAATTTAGTCTATTAGTCATGTTATAAATTGTTATGATACCTGTTATTTTATCAAATATATCTTATGCTATTTACACTTCTTCACTCGTTAATTGTTTCTTAAATCCTTGCCTCCTTCACTATATTGGTAATACCATAAAAGTGAAGACTGTGTTTATTTGTGCACCACTATCAACAATGCTGAGCACAAAGCTTGGAAAATACTAGTATTTCTCCAAAATACTTATTGAAGAAGTGAATGAATTAGACTGAGGTCAATCAAAGTGGCAGAAAGTGTACCACATTGAACACTGCCCTTATTGTATTAATTTGCAACAGAAATTGAATCTGGATTTCATAAGCACAAAAATGTAATTCTTTATAATATAATATGCAAAGTCACAATAAAGGGAAGGTCTAAGTCCTCTTGGGACTTCTGCTTTGACCCTGGATTTTGCTTTACTCTGCTGCCCCTTGTTTTTTCCTCTTTTTGTCCCTGACCCTCTCTATAGTCCAGTTTTCCAATTTTTTTGGTTCACATATCAGGAAATGTAGTTATTGCCACATCCATTGTTTGACATGACAAATGGTGACTGCCTCTGACATCAGAGAGCATTCACAGAAAAGGGAACATGATTTGCACCCAGATACCTTCAGTACACCTGTCCCGTAATAATGGATCAGATTCTTGGAAATAATTGATGTGGCTTGTTGCTCTCCATTTAAGAGTGATTTCTTTTCCAAGAGGTACACCCCATACTTTACGAGAGAGACCAATATGAGAAGTTCAAAGTCATTTCAGAACTCTTTTGCTAAGACAGTATTCCTTGTTTAGAACACAAATTTCTTTTTCTCCTTTCTTTCTTTCTTTTTTTTTTTTTTTTTTTTGACGGAGTTTTGCTCTTGTCACCAAGGCTGGAGTACAGTGGTGTGATCTTGGCTCATTGCAACCTCCACCTCCCAGATTCGAGCGATTCTCTTGCCTCAGCCTCCTGAGTAGTTGGGACTACAGGTGTGCGCCACTAAGTCCAGCTAATTTTTGTATTTTTAGTAGAGATGGGGTTTCACCATGTTGGCCAGGCTGGTCTTGAACTTCTGACCTCAGATGATACACCCGCCTCAGCCTCCCAAAGTGCTGGGATTACAGGCGTGAGCCTCTGCACCCAGCTGAACACAGATTTCTTGATTCTTTTTTTTTTTTTCGGGACCCATACATACTCAAAAATTATGACACAGTATCTCTGCAACCCTTTGATTTGTGTGTCTTGAAGATTTGTGCCAAAACAAATTCCTTAAAAATCAACATTTATTTTTATTTGTCTTACTAGAGCTACAACACACAATCTCCTGGGCTGCAATATAGCATCCAGTTTATGTCACAATAATCCCATGTGAAAATGGTGTGCCCTAGACCTCATGTCTTCAGTCCAAAGTGGTGAATAGACTAATCTGAAAAGCTTACCCTGGCTAATGAGGCATGTAATGTGTGTATTTATTAGAGATAACTAGACCTATTAATACTTCTAAATCTGATTTTCAGTCTGAGGCTTGTGGAGGTTAGGGAACAGATACATGGGCAAAGCTTATCTTCTCAGCACTGCTCAAATGATCCTGCATGGTTCCTACTTGCTATGGTTGTGCATACACAAAACATTGCATGTTCATAGGATTGCAGTTTGAGAATGGCATTTTATTAGAAATGTGTGATTTTTGAACAGAACATTAATTTTTCATTTAAGCTTATATATTTTACCAAATAATTATTAAAATGTTTTTAAATTTTATTACATTTGGAGGTCACTATTTTCTCAGAGATACATATGTCCAACTTTATAATTAGCTTATGGAAATAATAGAATTGGATACACACAAATGTAATTATCATGCACTGAATACGTTTTTCTTATTAAGCACCAAGTGATTGTGATCTATGGGTGTTCAATTATAAGGTAGACATAAAAAAATAAGTACCAGGGAGAAAATGAGTTTATTTTATGTATTTATTTACTTATTAGAGATGGAGTCTCTCTCTGTTGCCCAGGCCTGTCTGCAACTCTTGGCCTTAAGCAATCCCCCTGCCTCAGCTGAGATTACAGGTATGAGTCACTGTGCCGGTGGTAAGTTCATTTTAGAAAAGAAAGGGAACTCAATAGCAGAAGTAAATTTTTTTCAACAAAGGGAGTATTACAGGGATTGCAATAACTGTTGTATAAGAGCAAAACTTCTGAGTTAGCACACAAAAATCAATAATCCTTATATAAACAAAAAATAATCAGAAAACAATTTATAACAACAATAAAAATAGTAACATGCTTAAATGAACTTAAATCTTTTCTAGAAATACTTAAACCTATAAGAAGAAATCTCCAAACCACTCTTTAAGACCAATCTTGAACAATGTATAGATCCAATAATTCCTTGTTCATGGATATGTCTCAACATCCATACATATGCTGATTCTTTTATTTTTATTAGTGTTACATTTAATTTATATATTATGTAGAAGAAATAACAAGAAATAATATTTAAGTAAACATTTAAAAATAAGTGCAATTAGGTAGTACTGCTAGATATTAAAATGCACACAATTATTTATAATTTTCAGAACATGAAATTAATCAAGATTAACTTTAGTCGGTGAACGGATAAATAAAATATGTACATCTAGACAATAAAATATTATTTGATTTTTTTTAATGAGCTATCAAGCCATGAAAAGACATCGAGGAAATTCAAATGCAAATGACTAAATGAAACAATCCAATCTAAAAAAGCTACATACCATATGATTCTAACTAAATGACATTCCAGAAAAGGCAAAACTGTGGAGATAATAAAAAGACCAAGGGTTAGGAGAAGGGAGAGGCAAATCGCTGGAGCACAGAGGATTTTTAGAGCACTGAAACTACTTTGTATGATGTTATAAGAATGGATATATAGCATTATGAACTTTTCCAAACCCACAGAATGCACGAAACCAAGAGTGAACCCCAGTGTAAACTATGGATTCTGAGTAATAATGAGTAGTCAATTTAGGTTCATCAATTATAGCAATTGTATCATTCTGATGGGGGATGTTGATAATGAGGGAGGCTGTGCATCTGTCGGTGTAGGGAGTATTTGGGAAAGCTCTGTAACTTCTGCTGTGAACCTTAATCTGGCCTAAAAAATAAAGTCTATTTTTAAAAAGTATACTATAGAGTCTCTATAATCAAAATGGCATGATACAGATTCAAGAATATATTAATAGATTAACAAAATTGTATGGAAAGCTCAGAATAGACCTAAGTACAAATGAAGATTTAGTAAATATTATATATGGTATCTTAGGCTACTGGAAAAAATATAGTCTTTTTAAAACATAGTGTTTGGAAAACTGGATAGACATTTAGAAAAGAAAAAAATTGGATCCATTATTGATCTAGTAGAACGTGAAAACACTCTACTTGGATCAACAGTCTAAACGGGAACATGCTTGGCTTTCTTTATAATGTGTGTGGAGACATTTCTAATTATGATTCACTATCAAGTAGCTATATAAAAATTATAAATTCAACTTCATTAAAAATTTTAAAATGCATGCTAAAACAGAAAAATTGAAAGACAGGCTGGACAAAAATATTTGCAACTTACATCACAGAAAATAAAATGCTAATATCTTTCATTTAAAAAGAGTTATTGAAAATAAAGTGAAAATAACATGGGAAAATGAAAAATGAAGAGTTTAGAGAAAGTATATAAAAATGGTCCTTGAACATATGAAAAGGCACTCTAACTCACTGACAATAATAGGAATGCAAATTAAAACTACACCATTATGCTATTTCTTACCTACCAGATTAGCAGAAAATCAGTGCCTTGAAAACACATACTATTGGCTAGGCTTTGGGAAAACAGACACTCATAACTGTTGATGGTAAAACCCTTGTTGAACACAATGTGGCAATATCTAACAAAGCTGCCGATGCATTTACACTTTGATCCAGAAATCCTCTTTCTAAGACTTTGCTTGTATATACCTTCCTGCAAATAACAAAACAATATATGCAAAAGTTTATTCACTGCAGCATTAATTAAAATAGAAAATATTGGATAAAAACGAAATGCCCATCTATAGAAGACAGATTAAATAATTTACAGAACAATAAAAAGATAACTAGCTATTAACTTATATGGAGTATTTCCAAGATACATGGTTAAGTGAAAAAAAAGCCTCAAAAAAGTGTACATACTGTGGTATCTTTGTGAATGAGCATAAAAGAAATTTGTGTGTGTGTGTATGTGTACAAATAAATGTTCTCTATTATATATTATTTAAAATGTATAATATGTAATACATCACACACACAGAAAAGATAAACAGAAAATAATGAAAAAGGTTAATTATGTGTGTGAGTATGATGAAGATGCAGGAATGGAAGTAACGTCTTCTTTATCTTTATAGATAAAGGACATCTAACAAATATGGAAAAAATGATTGAATTCTAAAAATGAACTTTATTCAAACGAAAACGAAAACACATCATCAGAACTTGTTCAGTCCCTTGCCTTCTCTGAGCGTTATCAACAAATGCTAAAACCATTGTGTGGGGGATTGTTGGAAAACTGGACTTTCCTACCTATTCAAGATATCACACAAGTATAATATTAATTACTAATAGAAAAGAATTTTTCTTTATAATTCGGAGATTTAGCAGCCAAACTTTGAATCATCAATGGTAGGACAACTTGATATAATGTTCTTAATGTGAAACAACAAGAAATATACATAGCAACTGTGTACTATTCTTGCCAAAATTATTAAACTGAATTTACATAAGAAAAAACAAGAAAGGAACACATTGTAAAAGACCAGAGGCCTAGAATGGTCAACAATTCAATATAACGAGAAAAAATATAAGGGACAGTTCAACATTAAAAGAAACTAAAGAGACATAACCAAATTCAATTTACACACCACAATTGGATCCTGGAGTTTTACAAAAAGATCCTAAAAGACAATTTTAGAACAATTAGGGAATTTTGAAGATGGACAGTATATTAGGTGATATTTTAAAATTAGAGTTAATTTTCTTAGATGCAACATTGGTATAGAAGTTATAGAGAAGAATGTTTTTATTCTTAGGAGAGTCCTGCTAACATATTTGTCAGGTAAGTTATGAAATGCCTACAAATTATTTTCAAATTGTTCAGCAAAAGAAAAAAAAGCATATGTATTTAGAGAAAGAAAATAATTTTGGGAAAAATTTAATGTCTAAATTTCTCTAGGTACAAGTTGCATTGTGCCTGTAGTAAAATTCCTCCAACTTTTCTGTAGGTTTGACTTTTTTCCCAAAATAAAAATTTACAAAATGAAAAAAACTCTTTTTGTACTAATAATATAGCCTGCTTTTTTTAATTAAAAAATTAGAGATTAATCATCTGATGAATCAATATTCAAAGGAGATTTTCAGATACAGTCCTCATATGTTTGCATGCCAAACTTCACTGCCAGCCATTTGCTGGAATTCCTCTAGAGGACATGGTTGCAAAAATGAAACTTAAATTGAGAAACATCACAAGAATCCAACCACTTCTGAAATATGTTATTTATGGGTTTACTGAAATACAGACGTGAAGGGAAAGTCTAATTGTAAAATATTCATCTTCAAATGCCTCAACCACCCCCAGGAGCACTGTATCTATCAGGGATTGAAATTGCAAGAGAAAGGAAAACAAGGTTAAAAAATCAGGTGTATCCTGTTTGGGAGGGTGTGGGATTATATGGCATCATCAGAACTTGGTCTGTCCCTTGCCTTCTCTGAGCTTTGCTTTCCTTTGTGTTAGTGGAGTTCTCAGGCTGGCTTGCCATTTCTGCTGACTAGATGTACACCGGCTGCTCCCATCTTACTGCTATCTTCTCTCAACTTTAATAGCTGAAGAAAGTTTCTTTCACTCCTCAGATTCCTGTCTGCTCTGAGTATCCTCTCTTGGCTCAGATGCCAGTCCTAAAGAAATGCCTGTGGTGAGGGTCATATGAGACTATGATTTATTGGGCTCACATTGCCCACATTTAAAAGAGGAATGACACTATAGCACTAGGGCTACTGAAGTGAAAGAGGAGAGGATGTTTCCCAAAACAGAATTAGAATTCTCTTAACATTAAAAAGTGGGAGAGTGCTGGGAAGGCAAAAACAACAGCTGTCAACTATCAGCACCATGGCCATTTCTGGAGCCCTGAATTACACATTTTATTTTATGGTATTTTTGTCACATTTTGTGACTTCAAATAAGCTACATGAAAATTTCTGGATATTTTAATTTTCTTTTCTCATCAGTATTCTCCTATATATTTTTATTTTTATAGGATGAACCACCTTTGACTACAAATTTCTTGATTTCACACTTATCCTTATGAGGTTAAAATATTTCCTACTTGGCACAACTCATTATAAATTGTAAATCTTTTCTGTATAAATTTGTTTCTCAGTTTTTATGCCATTTAATTTCTAGTCATATTTCTACAAAGTTAAATTGATATAAGGGTGAAATACTAACTTCCAAAGTAAAGAAATTCTGATTCAAGAATGATTCATTTTTAATAGAGAACAAAGTTATCACAGTAATACATTAATTTTCTTGAGTGTAAGGTGGCCTTTTATTCTAGTAACAACATATGTCCATCACTTTTGCCCTTCATTAGTGAGATAAAAGAGTGCTTGATGAGCATGAAAGGGCACCATATTATAACCATTACATTTCTACACAGCAGAAAATGAACTAAAAATATGAAATCATCTTGTAAATATGAGTTGTATAAATAGCTATTCTTCCTATTATGGTTAAAAAATATGTATCTAAGAATTCATTATGATTTGCAATAATATACTAAAACCTAATCCATTAGATCCTTCTGAATCTTTTGTTTTATAGAAGGATATCAATCAACTTTTCTTTCAGCCAGAGAACCACAAAATCTCAAAGGCTTACACCTTGTAGTTCTCACCCATCACATGAATGCCGAGGGTCAGCTTCAGTTTGGCTGAGCATTTCTGGATTTGGTTGGTTGGTCTTATTGTGCTTGGCCTGTCTCTTTGTGTTTTCTTATTGCAGTATCCAAGTGGAAATATTAGCCACAACTACAACATACTTTTAAAATTCCAGAGGGCAGAAATTAAAGGTGACTGATAGAAATGTAAAATATCTCTCACAGCTTCTAATAAAATGTGGCATATGTTATCTCTGATTACATTCTCTTGGCCAAAGCAAGTCACATGTCAAAGCCCAACATCACTGGGGCATGAGATTATATGTCTCCCATGAGTGGGCACAAGGCATAAGTGAGGGATTGGTGAACATTTGGATAGCCATATTATCTCCCATAAAAGATATCCAAGAAGCTGACTTGTTTTGCTGTGCTTGAAGCAGAGAGCCAACGATTTATCCACCAATTAGTTCACATAATCACTGTTTTAATGTCCACTGTGAGTCAGGTCCTTATTAGGTGCTCCCTTGTGACATGAATTTAAAACACTAGAAAGAAACAGAAAACATATGAAATTGTTCCTATCAAGGTGTTTCCATTTCTTTGGACCAGGGGTTGGCAAAGGTTTTCTGTAAAGGACCAGATGTTAAATACTTCAGGGTTTATGGGCCACATACAGTATTTATGAAGGCTTCTTCTTTCATCTTTCTCCTTCTCCACATCTTCCTCCTGCCCCTCGCTCTCATCCTCCTCTTTCTACAGATTCTTTAAATATGTAAAAAAAAAAATTATTAGCTCTCATATTGCGTAAAAATGGGCCACCAGACAGAGTTGGGGCACAGGCTGCTAGTTTCTGCTTTAAGGGAATAAAATGGACAAACATGACTTCCATGACTTATATTAAACACAACTACATCATTGCAAATACAAGTGTGTACTCTAGTTTAATTAACTTGTAAATTTATTGGTAAATCCTCTTTTAATTTGCAATGTCCCAAAAACTGAGAGAACAATATAAAATCACTATATCAAAAAGTACTTATGACAGGGCCTGCATGGCTATGACAAATACATTTCCCTTAGTTGCTCAGCCTTATTCTCTTAATAATATAGTTTATGCATTAGCTTCATGCTCAATTTTTCACACGGAGTCTGTACTTCTGAGACAGTTTATCTTGAATTGGGAATGAAGAAGATAACGAGCATAGTATATAATGGCATGAGCTGAGTTCAGGTCTTGGTTTTGTCATTTGTTAGCCAGGTGGGGAATGTTTATAATAGCTAATTTATGGCCTTCGTCTGATAATCCCAACATCTGTGTCATTTTGTGATTGTATTTTCTCTTATGACTTTCCTGGTACTGTTTAGGCAAGGTAATTTGAAACCAAATTATAGATATTTTAAATATTATGTTTTCAGACTTTGTGTCTCATTTAAATCCTAAAGAGGATATTGATTTTTTGATTTGTATTAGGCAATCTGATTATGTAGAAGTTTAGGCCACAAGTACCAACTTGCTTTCTGTGGGTTCTTATTCCCTCAGTTCAGTCTTCAGAGCATTTGCGGTACTGTTTAGATCACACCACATTTGTGCCCCCCAGTGGCCAAACAGTGAGTGGAAGCCTACCCTGGGCTCAGTTTCCAAAATCTTTGATATCATATTTAGGGTGAGATCCATGAATGTGCAGTTTGGAGGTGAGCTGAGGAATTCCTACACAATTTATGGGATTTCTGTTGATCTTTCTTCTTTCTGTGACCTCCACAACAATTTCTACCTTCCTGAGGCCACCCTTTCCTGTCCTCTCTCCAGAAACCTAACTTCTTCCTCTTCCAGACACTTCCTAAAAGCGTGTTTGTATTTAGGACCAAATGGTGGGAGGACAGAGGGTGGGGGAAAAAATGGAAATTTGCTTCATGCTCTGGGGACCCCAGATTTTCTTACCAGAGAGCAGAATTTTCCTTTCTCAGGGTTGTGGGGGACTGCCTGGCAGCCACTGCCATCACTGTGCAGCTGCCTCCCCACCATCACAGCTGCCTGGGAGCTAGAACAGGAGAGAAGGAAAAAAAGTTAAAACAAAACAAGCCATTTCTTTCATTTTTTCCAACCTTCGGTAGTTTCTTCCTCCTCAAATTGGAGAACATATTTCTCATAGACCTCTTTCTATCTGTGCTTGGTATATGCATTTCCAGACTTGGGCCTGTTTTTAGTCCAGGTTGGGTAATACCAGAGGCAGAAAGAAAACACTATAAACTTACCACCAGTTCCACAGAACTTTGAATTTTGAAATTCTGATGTCCTTCCCCAATACAACTGCTACTGTGTGCTTTTTAGGGCCTCGGATTGCTGTTCCACGCATTCTGTCTGGAACTTCGGATTGTTTTCAGTGGGAGAAACTGAGTGAAGTGTACTTACGCACCTTCCCCAGAATCTGAACTCGAAGTTCCTTAATTTTTAAATGGGCAAGGATGAGAGTGAAATGAAAGGTGGTAGAAGTGAGGAAATAAGGGAAAGTATTGGAAATGGCAATATATTCCCAGGCAAGAGGCTACAGGAGGAAAGCACCAGTGCATTAAGGAGAAAAGCACTTGCTGACATACAAAGGTGTTTTTTGTGATTGATTTGTCCTAATGAGTTGACTGGAAAAGCAAAGAGTTCATCTCAATAAACATACATGTGCATGTGTCTTTAGAGTAGAATGATTTATAATCCTTTGGGTATATACCCAGTAATGGGATTGCAGGTCAAATGGCATTTCTAGTTCTAGATCCTTGAGGAATCGCCACACTGTCTTCCATAGTGGTTGAACTAGTTTACACTCCCACCAGCAGTGTAAAAGCGTTCCTATTTCTCTACATCCTCTCCAGCATCTGTTGTTTCCTGACTTTTTAATGATCACCATTCTAACCAGTGTGAAATGGTATCTCATTGCGGTTTTGATTTGCATTTCTCTAATGACCAGTGATGGCAAGGGGCGGGATAGCATTACGAGAAATACCTAATGTGGATGACGGGTTGATGGGTGCAGGAAACCACTATGGCACATGTATACCTATATAACAAACCTGCACGTTCTGCACATGTATCCCAGAACTTAGGTATAATTTAAAAAGAAAGAAAGAAATATCCTGTAATCCCATGTGAAAAAAAAAAGGAGTTCCTCTCAAAGAATAAGCTGGACAATGAATCTCACACAACGCTTATTTTAATGAACATCTTAGAGCTCTTAAGAGTCAGTTGCTGCTGATAAAACTTTTAAAGACAAGGATAATAATAAAGGACATTAGTCATATTCTCTTACGCTACTTGGTGTCCCCTATTATAAATAAAATAACAAATACGGTATATGTTACAAGGACAGAAGAAAAGAAAAAAAAGTGGAATCTTAACTTGGGAAAGTTCAAGCTGACTAATACTAACAGAATAAATGGTTTTTTTTTTTTTTTTTTCTTGAGATGGAGTCTTGCTCTGTCACCCAGGCTGGAGTGCAGTGGCGCGATCTGGGCTCACTGCAACCTCCGCCTCCTGGGTTCATGCCATTCTCCTGCCTCAGCCTCGCGAGTACCTGGGACTACAGGTGCCCGCCACCTCGCCTGGCTAATTTTTTTTTTTTTTGTATTTTTAGTAGAGACGGGGTTTCCGCGGGTTAGCCAGGATGGTCTTGATCTCCTGACCTCGTGATCTGCCCACCTTGGCCTCCCAGAGTGCTGGGATTACAGGCGTAAGCCACTGCACCCGGCCCAGAATAAATGTTAAAATGATCAATAAATAAGTAACAACAATGATTAAAACAACAAAAAATTTGGAGATTATAAATCTGCCAATATTCCTTCATCAAGCACTGTCCAGTAATATCAAGGCACCTGGTTTGAAAATACTTCCCTTTCTGTTTAAAAATGTCTCAATAACTGGCACCTTACTATTGGAGGAGTGGGATCTCCATTTTGATATGTGCTTATATTAGAATTTTACAGGTTCTTCACTTTTTCTTGTTTGCACTATCAGAGTCAGGGACACATTTGCTATCAGTGTTGTTTTCAATGTTCCAATATGAAACCAGATATGGGCAATTTTCACAAGCAAAACAATTTTCTTCTTGCATCCCCACGTAAAATACAGCGTGAAGATCAATAAGAGGAAGAGATCTCAAATGGCGCTCTGGAAAGTTAGCAGAGCCTGAGTCTTCATAGATTCCTAAATTTTAATTTAAGATGTTTCTATGAAAAATTGCTGGTATTTTGACAGATATTCAGTGCATATAGAATCAATACAATTTGATAATTACCAAAGTTTTTATTGCCCCTGAGGTTATATGTTTGTTTACTACACCCAAACTTCAAAGAAATTGAGTTCTTGGAGCCAAATTTCATAGTTACAGTTTCTTTTATTGACACTAATACATTGTACAGTCAATTGTAGACTGGTCAAAAACTCGTAAGTGGCTCCTGAAAAGGGATTTAAATTGACATAAACTACTAAAATTTTGTCTAGATACCTACTAGAATATGGGGAGATTTTTGGAGATATCTTCAAAACAATTTCATTCAGATTTACCTTAATTGATTTTCCACAGCTATAAAATGTATACATATGTTTTAAGATGTATTTAAGAACTTGTATCTGTGAGAGCCTTAAAAAATAGCAGTAATAGTAGCTCAGCACATTTATAGACTATAGAAGCAATAAGAAAATCAATTTATTTAGAAACACTTCACCTTCAAGTTCTTGCCCTTCAACCATGTACACAATATATGAAGACTTTAAAGATACAGCAATTTAATCACAAATGTCTTTCGCTGGCCAAGAATGGTACTTTCTGTTGTCTCTCTTTTTCTTTTTCTCTTCTCAAAGACACGTGAAGTATAAGAAAAACTGCCAGATGTCACAAACTGCAACCCTGATAAACACAGTGCAGTTTGAAAAACAGATGGAAGTGTCTGAGGCTCACCTCATCTAGTAATGCTGTTCTTCCTCTGCTGTGATTCACACAAGGTGATTATCGTGGAGCCCAGATGCTGGCTCTGCAGCTACCACCTGGTGCTATACCTTCTCTCAGGGTCCTATACTTTGTGCAATGAGTTTGAAAACGTTTAGGCCCTGCTGAGCATGTGTTTTGTTCTTTGGGTTTTTAAAAAATGATTAGTCAGTAGTGAAATGAAATGGGCTATGAAGACAGTGAATAAAATATGACAGGGAAGCAAAGACTTTTTTTTTTCTGAAGGAATGTTAGCATTTGTCTAAGTACAAATAGGAGAGCTCAGTGACCATTTAGAATGCAGGTTGAAGTGAATTTAAGAAATTAAATAGAATTTAATGATAATGATATTCTAAGATGTAAATCTCAAAGATGGATCTTCATGAGAGCAGAAATTTTAGATAGATCTAGTGCACTTACACGATCTGTCCTATGATATGAAGGCTTAAAGTAGATGTTTTCTCGCCAGATGATTTACATGTAAGAGTGAAGGCAAACAATAAAAGTGAATTAAATATTGCTAGACCAGAGGTCCCAACAATTCAACTAGTCTTATAATTGGAGGAATCAAGGAGAGGTATATTATTGGCTAAGGACCCATCTGGGACAAGACATCCTATCGAATATTTAATATTAAACCCTGTTTCAAGTTTACAAATTTAACAAATACTAGGTGGGTAGATCCGCAGGTGAGGTTTGAGGCTGAACACAAGTCATCATTCAATCACTTAGTAGATTTACTTTGGTGCACTTACTTTCCAAGGCCCATGAAGTGTGACACACATAAGAAGATGAATTAGATTTAAATCAATTATCAATTATTTGCTAATTGCATATACTTTTAAAAAGTAGATGACAGATTGGGGGAATAGAGAAAAGGACAGAAAAACTGCTTACAGTGTTGAAGTAACTAGCACTTTGATTTAGGATCTAAGACATATATAAGAGATCAATAGCATCTTATTGATAGAAAGCAAGACCTTCTGAACAAATAGTAATAGAAGTTTCTAATAAGAATGATGACCATGCATATGCATATTATGACTCCAGTGCTTAACCCGTATTAGGTGACTCATTCATTAAATGAGATGACATACAGAACAAGCTGGATTAGAATAAAATTATTTCTGGCCAGTTCAAGAATTAATGGATGTGATTTGGTAGAAAAGCATGGGAGAGAAATTTATGCAAGAGAAATTGTTAGAAAATAATAGACAAATTATGCATAGCACTTACATTTGCAATGTCTAAAAAGAATACACTAAACAACTGACTCTAAATTTAAGACATGGGCAATGGGAGGTGCCATAAATTTCTTTCATAATTCGTAGGGTATAAATGCTATATAAGGAAAAGCATTCTTGAAGTCATACGAAGCTTGAGTTGTAACAGCAATTACTGAAAGTAGAAAAACTGAAGACACTTGTAGATATTCCAGCATTAGTTGAAGAACAACTAGCATAGATTATGGGAAAGAAATACAATGATCGGACACAGTATGTAAAGACCAATTTGCATATGAAAATAGAGAAAAATAATAAAAGTAAATGAAAGAATACCAGATTAGAGATCCCAAGCGATCAAACAATATCTTAAGAATAGATATGTTATTGGCTGGGGAGATACCTGGAAAAGGCTGAATTTTTAATGTGACTACCTCTTTTAAGCATATAGATTTGACAAATGCTGTAATTTTGCCGTATTTGTTTTTACAGTTTTCATATAAAGAAATAATACAGAAGTCTTTGAACCCCCCTATTCCATTCACTCCCATCCCCCATGATTAAAGGCAGGCATGAGTCTAAAGTTATTTCGTGTTTACAGTCTATGTTTTTATGCCTTCATTAAATTTGTGTGGTTCCATAAAGTATTGATTATGCATCTTCGAAATGTATTTAAAGCTTTCATTTTGCACCTTACTTTATTAGCTCAGAGTTACTGGTTACCTATGTAAATACTTGTGATACAGGTTTCATTCATTCACTGACTCATTCACTGTGGGTGGGTTTTTACTTTGTTTATTGTATCTTTGGTCATACAGAAGTTTCCAATTTTATTGTCTAATTTATCAGTCTGTTCTTGTGGGGTGTGTACTTTGTATGTCTTGTCTAAGAGATTCTTCCTTGCCTTGAAGTCATAGAGTTTCTTGTTATTTTTATATCGTTTGGTTGTACTGTTTTAAATTTAATTATGAAATGTGGGAGTTAAGCTGAAATTTCTGTACAACACGCTGCATGAGGTCAAGGTACAATTTTCTGCTTTTTAATATGGATAGCCAATTATCCGTTTATTAGACAGTTAATATTTTCCTGACTCATGTTCAATGCCACCTCTATATATATGTGTGTGTGTGTGTATTCTTTTTTTTTTTTTTTTTTTTTTTTTTGAGAGGGAGAGGGAGTCTCGCTCTGTCGCCCAGGCTGGAGTGCAGTGGCACAACCTCGACTCACTGCAAGCTCCACCTCCCGGGTTCACGCCATTCTCCCGCCTCAGCCTCCAGAGTAGCTGGGACTACAGGCGTCCGCCACCGCACCTGGCTAATTTTTTTGTATTTATTTAGTAGAGATGGGGTTTCACCCTGTTAGCCAGGACAGTCTCAATCTCCTGACCTTGTGATCCACCCGCCTCGGCCTCTTAAAGTGCTGGGATTACAGGTGTGAGCCACCGCGCCCAGCCGCCACCTCTATATTAAGAAAGATTTTATGTCTGCGAGTGACTCCCCTGCCCCTGTATTTGTTATCCTTGCACCAATACCATATTTAGATTTTTATAACATCATAATAAGTATTTATAATACTACCACTTGTTAAAATCTACCAATACTTTGCCGATATTTTAACTGGATTATGTTAAATGTATAGATTAATCGTGGGAAATGTGATATATTTGTGGTATTGAGGCTTCCCATTCAGGAAAGAATATATCTCACCACTTAAGTCTGACTTCATACTCTTCAAACACTCTTTACAATATTTTATATAAGATATTTCTATTATATTTAGCTGGATTTAAATATAGATTATAATTTTAATGCTTTTTTTTTGGCGGGGGGGACAGGGTCTCACTATCACCCAGGCTTGAGTGCAGTGGTACAACCACGGCTTACCACAGCCCCGGCCCCCCGGGCTCAGGTGATGCTCTCACCTCAGTCTCCTAAGTAGCTAGGACTACAGACTCCCAACCCCATGCCCTGCTAATTTTTGTATTTTTCGTAGAGACAGGGTTTTGCCATATTGTCCAGGCTGGTCATGAACTCCTGGGCTCAAGTGATCTGCCCACCTCAGCCTCCCAAAACGCTAGGATTACAGGCAAGAGCCACTGCGCCCAATCTTGATTTTAATTTTTATGGTTGCTAAAAACCAGGATTTTCAAAATTTTAATACTATTGGATTTTTACTAGTGAACAGAAACACCTTTTTTTTTTTTTTTTTTGCATCTTTGTTTTATATATGTATAGCAAATTGTAGAACTCCCTGAGTAGTTTCAAAAGTTTGCATCTCGGTTCTTTTTGATCATCTACAGAAGCAATCCTATCAGTATAAAAGTGTATTACTTTCTTTATAAGAATTATGGCTTTGACTTATTTTTATTTACTCACTGCATTGGCTGGAATTGCACAGTCCTCAATAATAGCCTTTAGTTACATATGATTATTTACATTTAAATTAATTAGATTCAAATAAAATTAACTACTTAGTTCCTCAATTACTATCCACATTCCAACTGCTCAATAGCCACATGAGTTAAGTGGCTGCAATATTGTACCACACAGAAATAGAACATTTCCATCATCACAGAAGGTTCTACAGTCCCAGACTAAACCTCGGATATAGAAAAGAATTGAATCAATTGGGATAGCCGATATACTGATATAAGTTCTGATTATATTCATTTTCATGCTGCTGTGTAATAAATTATTATAAACCTTGTGGCTTGACACAGCACTAATTTATCTCACAGATTATGCAGGTCAAACATCTGAGCACAGTGTGGCTGGAGTTTTTCTCCTTAGGGTCTTACTAGGCTGACATCAAATTGTTGGCCAGGGTTACAGTTCTCACATGGAGCTTGGTGTCTTGCAAGCTCACTGGTTCTGGTACAATTTATTCCCTTGTGATTGTAGGACTGAGGTCCTCAGTTCCCTATGAGCTATTACCTGGGACTACTCTCAACTCCTAGAACCCACCTAAAGTTCCTTGCCATGTGGCAGGAACTTTAATAAACTTTATAGGCTGTTTATAATATTTGCTTTCATTAAGGCTCACCAAAGTTCATCTCTCTCACTTCTTCTTCTGTGACAAGCAGGTGAAAATTCTGCCTTTAAAGGCATTGTCTGGTTAGGTCAGTCCAACCAAAAATAATTTCCCATTTACTAAATAAATTAACAGACTCATGGGAGTGATATCTCTTTGTAGTCATAACTCCCATCCACACTCAAAGCAGAGTGGGTTATAGAATACTGAAGGTCACTAGGAGTCATCTTAGAAGTCTGTCTACCACAGCAACTTTAAATGAAATGCATATCTACCGTTCTTACAAAGATAATTTTTTCTGTAGGCTCGGAGTAGCTGCCATAAGTAGGGTAAGAAAATTCCTTTATAGTTCTAGTTTAATAAGATTTTTCACTATAAACATGTATTGCATTATACTAAATAATATCCCTTCTTTGTAGTTGGTCACACTTATTTTTGTTCATTGATTCTATTAACATGGTAAATTATATCCAAGGGTTTCTAATATAAAACACCTCTTGTATACTTGGGACCAATTCTATACTTGGTTACATAGTTACAACTAATAACAACTGAGCTAGTGAGGACTACAATTCACTCATGGGTACATGGGGGTACATAAGAATCTTTTTAGATTCAGGTATATATATATGTATGTGTATATATATATATATATACTCTATCTGTATATATGTGTGTGTATATATATGTATATATACATATGTGTGTGTGTGTATATATATATATATATGATATACAGTGTAATCTTCACACTGAGCCTTAAACAGTACTAATTTGAGGGAAGTAAGCCTGAAATTTGCCCTGAGCAAGGACTCTGGGGTAAGCCTAAAGTCATACCAGGCAGTAGTGATCCTTGGATATCAACAGAAGGAAATATTTTTCTGAGGGAAACTTTCCTTTATATACAGTCACTTGACATCCCACAGATTAAGGGCAAGCAAAAAGCTAATAAAAAAATAATAACAGGCACATGATAAGGCAAGCCACTAGATCACAAAAAATGAGTAATGGATAACAGAATTAGGTACCCCCAAACTGCAGAACTTTTAGATACAGAATTTAGAGCATATATGTGGGAAAAGTATATTTCATAAGCAATGAATAGGCATTTTTTAAAATCCATGAAAACCATAAGGATTGAATTTTTTTGAAAAGTAAAAAGGTTAAACAGGATTAGACATTGCTGAATGAAGAGTAAATAAACTGAAAGATTTATCTGAAGGATAGAATGCATCACATGAAGATAAGGAGGTAAAAATAAATAAGGAGATGTATTAAGATATAGGGAAAGCAGAATGTGAAGGTTTAAAACATGTCTAATTAGAATCCATCACCATAGATTTAACATTTTTAAAATAGTGGTTGGAATGCGTACTGATTGCCATGCAATTACAACATAGTTGACGGCTTAAAACAAATTTATTCTTTCACATTTCTGGAGGCTACAAGTCGGAAATCAAGGTACCAGAGGGGCTGTGCTCCCTCCAAAGGCTCTAGGAGAGAGCCTCTGCCTCTTCTAGGTTCCAGTTGGCTAGTCCTGGCGTTCCTTGGTTTGTGGCAGCAAAACTCCATCTCTGTCCCTGTGTTCATATGGCCCTTTTTCTATGTGTCTCTCTGTGTTCTCTCCTCTTTATAAAGACACCAGTTATTTAGGATCCATCCTATACCCAGGATGTTCCATCATGAGTCCTTAACCAATTACATCTGCAAAGACGTTATTTTCAATGATTCTCACCTTCTTTTTTTTTATTAATTTTTATTTCAATATCTTTTGGGGTACAAATGTTTTTTTGTTACATGGATGAATTACATAGTGGTGAAGTCTGAGATTTTATTGCAGCTGTCCCCCAAGTAGTGTACTTTGTACCTATGTGTAGTTTTTTTATCCCTAGCCTCCCTTCCACCCTTCCCCTTATGAGTCTCTAAAGTCCATTATATCACTCTGTATGCCTTTGCCTACTCATAGCTTAGCTCTCACTGATAAGTGAGAACATAACGGTTTTTGGTTTTCCATTCCCGTGCTACTTCACTTGGAATAATGGTCTACAGCTTCATCCAAGTGGCTGCAGAAGACATTATTTCATTCCTTTTAATGGCTGAGTAGTAATCCATGCTGTTAAGAAAGTATACAACATTTTCTTTATCCACTCATTAGTCAATGGCCACTTAAGCTGCTTCCATATATTTGCAATTGTGAGCTCTGGTACTATAAACATATGTGTGCAAGTGTCTTTTTCATATAATGAATTCTTCTCTTTTGGACCCACAGTGGGACTGCTGGATCAAATGGTAGATGTACTGCTGAGCTTCCAAGTAAACAAGAATTGAGGGGAGCCCTACTTAACCCACTATAGGATGTTTTTCAGTATTCATGAAAAATAAAAATCCAACACCTCAGTAAAAGTTTCTCGGTATGTGAATTTACATTGAATACGTGATTAAAAATAATAAAATTATTAATTTGAATTATAATTAAATTTAAATTAAAAACTTAAAACTGTTTTTAAAATCAAAGTGAAACTACAGAACACTAAAGACAAAAAGGTGATCTTAAAAACAGCCAAAGAGAAATATTGTATCGCCAATAAAGTGATGACTTTTAGAATGGCAGTAAGTTTATCAACAGTGATAATAAAATAAGAATCCAGTTAAATAAGTATGATAAATTGTTGAAATAAAAAAATCAAACATAATTTATAGGAAAACAATCATACATAGATGTATGTTAACAAAATAGCAACAGTATAAATAAAGAGGTCTTAATAGCTGAAAATCAAAAAGACAATTAACAGTGGGATAGATATACCAATGGCAATACAATTTAAAAGACAATAAAAAAATTTCAAGTGATAGATAAAATAACTGTCAGGCTAGAATTTTACGTTCAGATAAATTACTAGTAAAATTTTACTCTTGCTTGGGATGTCTTGTGCTGCCTAAATCTGAGGTTTCTCAGATAGCCAATTCAAAATAATCAATTCTGTAACGTTCACTCTTAGTGTCTTATCAATTGTGCCATCTGCCATAACATCACTATTATCTCTTCTGGAAGTCTCATTGATATGTATAGAAATTTCTTTTTTATTCTACATGTTTTTAAAATTTTTCTTTTATATTGCTTCTGAGTGATACTTTTTTTCTGATTTATATCCTAATTTACTAACTCATTCTCTGGATGTGTCTAGTCTTCTGTTTAACCAAGTTATTCAGTTTTTATCTTATTGATTTAATTTCTTCATTTCTAGGTGTTCTACTTGGGTGTTTTCCAAACTGGTCTGATCCTATTTCCTGTATCTTCTCCATTCTTGTGTTTTTAATTCCTTAATTATGACTTCTCTTTGGTGTTGTTTTCTATTGCTCATAGAACACTGTATCTGCTTTTATTTTACAATTTTTGATAGTAGGCTCATATTTAGTGGAAATCCTCTGACACCTTAGCTGAAGGTATGTGTTTGTAAAGTCATATTGCATGTGCTTCTACTAATCGCCTTGGAGGTATTGTCATCCCAGGGCCGCTCTTCATATTAAGTTATCAGCTTAAATGTTATTAGACTTTACGTATGTTAGTATTCCAACACCACTTTAAGGGCAGACCATTGTACTAATTGTTAGGGAATTTTTTGATTTCCCACTGAGAGTGTATCCTAGATGGCAAAAAAGATTTTTCTAGTGCACCCTGTCATGGAAAATGCAGCTTTTCAAAAATTCTAGCTTTATGCATTGGTTTCATTCTAACTCACAATCACGTAAACCCAAAGCAGCCTTTCCCGTCTCCACATGAAAACCAAAACAGAGTATCCACACCTCATGATTAAAGCAGTTTTTCAGCTTTCTCTTGATATTTTTCTACCATTTTTCTACGATTTTTTGCCAGTCAGCTATGCATTTTGAATTATAATTGTTATGTTTTATCAATCATTTACCCATACTTTGTAGTCAGACTACTTGGGGATTATCTATTCTGCCATATTAACAGGAATGGAAGTCTACTTTCAGTTATATAAATGTGAATTAGCAGAGCTTGTCCACTCCTCAGAGTAAAATGTACATCCAGGCAACTGGAAATATAAAGTATACTGGTAAAAGATGAAAATTATAAATAATGGAGTAAGTCAAGAGATGTAGATGAGGGCCAGGAAGCAAAGTTTTCAGGAATTTAAAAGGGTGTTCACAAAGAAAGCTGGAGGATTCATGTAATGGTCAGAGAAAGATGGTTTTGGTTTACAGTGAGTGAACATAATAACCCCACCCCCGCCGTTATCCACAGGGAATATGTTCCAAGAACTTCAGTAAATGCCTGAAACCATGGATGATGCCTGAAACCATGGATTGTACCAAATTCTATATATACTATGTTTTTTCCTATACATACATACCTGTGATAAAATTTAATATATAAATTAGACACAATAAGAGATTAACAATAACTAATAATAAAATAGAATAATTATAACAATATACCAACATCACTACTCTTGCACCCTGGGACCATTATTAAGTAAAATAAGGGTTACTTAAACACAGTCACTGTGATACCACAGGAGTAGCTCTGATAACCAAGACAGCTACTAAGTGACTAATGGATGGGTAGAGTATACAGCATGGATACTCTGAACAAAGGGATGATTCACATTCCAGGCGAGATGGAGCAGAATGGTCCGTGATTTCACCATGCTACTCAGAACAGTGCACAATTTAAAAACTAGGCATTGTTTATTTCTGGAATTTTCCACTTAATAATTTTTGGACCACAGTTCATCCCAGAAACTGAAATCTCAGAAAGCAAATCTGTGGGTAAGGGGAGACTATATACTAGGAAAGGGATCTCAGGAATAATGTAACATAGTCTAGCCATGTCCCTACAGATAAATGTGAGGAGACTTGTTATGCTAAACTTCCCAAGAAAGCAATATTAAAAATCCTCTTATCCAGCATGCCATTGAGAACAGTATTTTCTTGCCTTATTCATTTTCCCTTGATTATGTGGTTTAAGAAAAAAAATTTAATAATAAATTCTCTATACATTTAAGTTGGGAAGTAGTTTTTCTTTATTGAACCAGTTCAAACTAAAATTTTCAATAGTATTAATAACTAGCACTAAATAGCCTCTGGCTGTAAATGGTAATTTCACCTATTTCAATGTGTTCAGTGAATAATATGGTGTTTACCATTGTCTAAATTATCTTACCCACTTTTGTCAAATATTTGCACCTTATTCATTATTTTGGCTACGCTTTTATTATATCATACTCCCATCCCAGTAAAAGTAAATATTTAAAAATTAATTTAAAATATAGTTTTCTAAAACTCTTTTAGGTTTGTAAGCATAAAGAATGTTTTGATGGCATCATACATATATTTGTATAATGAATATAGACAGTAATATTTTTATTTCCCAACATTCAATAAAATGACTTGCTTAGCTACCTTTATTAATAAATAAATGTAAGATCTTCACAACAAATTTGAGACATCATGGGGAAAATTATTCTACTTCCCAGTGGTATAACATAGGATATACTATATAATGTTAGTAAATGAATAATTCAAAAGAGAAGTGTTAGTTATATGAATTTATCTAGCTTTTAAATGATACTGAATATACAAATTTATCTATTTGACCTTTCTTAAAAAGATAATTTAACACTGTTTCAGTATTCATGAAAAATAAAAATCCAACACCTCAGTAAAAGTGAGTAAAAAAGAGTCATGAGTAGTTCGAGACCAGCCTGACCAACAAGGTGAAACCCCATCTCTTCTAAAAACACAAAAAATTACCTGGGCGTGGTGGTGCACAACTGTAATCTCAGCTACTAGGGAGGCTGAGGCAGCAGAATCCCTTGAACCCAGGAGGCAGAGGCTGCGGTGAGCCGAGTGCGCCACTGCATTCCAGCCTGGGTGAGGTAGTGAGACTCCATCTCAAAACAAAAAACCCAAAAAAACAAAAACAAAACAGTCACGGCAATAGAATGAAGCATCCCATTTCAAAGTAATTCTACCATTTTACATTTTCATGGGGATTCTATGAAAGAAATATTCATTTGTAAATCCTTTAAGGTTGCTCTATTATTCATGTTGCTTCAAGAATAAATTTTGCTGACCAATTTGAGACTGACGTATATCACATGTATTTTTCCTTTTGTACTGTAAAACTTTAATTTTTGTCTCATTTTGAGAGATAGTTATCCCTTCCTCAATCAGCAGCTTTCTATCCTCTACCTAGCAGTCTGGAAGGCTGATGTTAGAAACAGTTTTTATCATCATGACTCTCCGCCCCAGTCATGTGGGAATTGAGATTTGATTGATTTTTTATCTGCTTCACTTAGGTTCTAGTCGTGCAGCTTTCTCTGCTTTCTTCCACTTCTTCAGGTAGAAGTTCAAACTACAGACCTGGGCAACAGTTTCAACTCTTTTCAGAATATTTTCCCTGGAGAGCTGGAAGAATGGAAACCTAGTCACCGGCTCTACCTTTAGCTTTTCTCTGATCTCCTGATATGTATGGCCTATTTTGCATTCCTGTTAACTCAGAAGGGAAAAAACGATTCCAGACCATCTACCTCTGCGCGCATTTCCAAGAGCCCAGTAAGCATACAGCTTCAGGTATCAGGCATTGTTCTTTTTATGTTGCATTCCTCATTTTTGGAGATGTATAGCTTGCTTTTATGAACAACTATGCCTTTTAAATGCATTTAAACAGATATGTCTATCATTGCTGTTTGTTTGGATTCGCAGGTGGTTGATTACATTTGGATTCTCAGCATCATCTTTACTGGAATGTTTTTGAAGTTTTAAACTTTTATGTTTTATTTTTTAAGACCTAGGG
This sequence comes from Homo sapiens, assembly GCF_000001405.40. Lineage (NCBI taxonomy): Eukaryota > Metazoa > Chordata > Mammalia > Primates > Hominidae > Homo > Homo sapiens. The sequence continues at coordinate 95,938,158 of NC_000006.12, forward strand.
TCTTGGTATGTTGCCCAGGCTGGGATGCAGTGACACAGCATGGGAGCATTGACCTTCTTTATTTTTAACCTGTTTTGGTTCGCCCTTACTTAAAAAAGCCGGTGGTCCTTTGCCTCCGGAAGGTCACCAAATTGATGCCAAACCTAGGACAGACACCTGATTGGCACAGCACACCAGAGTCCAGAACTTCTGAGCCCAAGTAATCCTCCTGCTTCAGCTTCCTATGTAGCTGGGGCTACAGGTGCATGCCACCGTACCTGGCTGAAGTTTTTAACTTTAGCTATTGGAATTAATATCATTAGGATCATGATTATTGAAAATATGTGTAAGAGGAAATATATAATCAATCAAATAGCTCTTATACAGGAGTACTTAGGTTTACCTGGAAAATGCCTTTCCTCATCTTTGTTCTTACTTAGGAATTTTTGTATCATTTATACAGAATCATAAATAGGTAACATTAATAAGTGACTTTGTTGTAATTTGTTTTTATAAACCAATATAATGGAATGAAGACTCAGGCAGTGTGAAATATATTTTCAATTATTATTTTCCTATAATAGTGATGTAATTGCACTAATTCTTTTACATTCAGTTTCCAAAGACCCCTTATGTTCAATAATAAATGTTTTCACAACAGCTAGCTATGATTATGATATATAGCCTATATAGAGGTGAAACCAATGATTTTGATAAAACAGCTTTGCATTAATCATTTTGGCACAGAGAAATATGATTAATAAATTACAGTAAATAGCTGAACTTTGTGGTTTCTTAAATGGTACAGTTTTATGAGGTAGCAACTGAAACAAAAATATGAAAATCCAGAGATTATATTGGCTTTTGTTTGCTGTACAAGTATGATTTCAATACAATCTGCTTAACTCTGATTGATTACTTACAATATTTACATCATAAGGAAGTATTTTTTAGGTAATATTATCCAACTCAAGGAGGTGAAAGTCAACACAATTTATTTCAATGGACTTAACTTTTAGAGAGAACCAAAATTCATTACTTTTATTCCTATTGCTATAGGACACTTTGTAACATAAAATCTAGTGTAATACTTTTGAAAAAAAAAAGTCTAGGTCCAAAAGCAAAGATAAAGCAAGAGAAAAAAGACCTTCAAATCCAGCAAAAAATTCAAATCCAGAAAGTCAAGAATATAACGTAACCCTTAAAAAAATCATTTGAATCTTCTTGGAAGAAGTCAAGCACCAAAATCAGAAATGGATCACTGGGGTCATGGTACACTTCTACAAAAAGAATACAGTAGAAAATAAGGAGCATAGTTTTCTATTATTGAAGTATAAAGATTATTCAGAAATCTTGTAAACACATGGCCGAGGTCTTGGTCCTCACTGGATGCATGTAAGCATAAGCTTCAGGTATATCAACTGCAGCTTTGCCTCAGGAGTTATGCTAATGGTGATCTCCAGTGTGTAAGAACCTACAGGAAGATGCCGTTAGACATAACTGAAACAGAGGCAGAAGCAAGAATTAGAGAATTTGGAGAAAGTTAGGCTAACATCTCTGCTGGTTGGTAGTTCTTTCTCATAGGAGAGGGTAGTGTCTGTGTACTTGTGTCTCGGGTTCCACTCAACATTGGCCCATTGGCCTGCATCAGAGACACAGGACTTGAGGTAGAAATTGCCTTAAGGAAATTGCTTTATGAACAAATAAAATATATGAAATTATCTGGAATGGATTAATTTATTTAGACATGGTAGAGAAACTCCACCCATTTCTGTGAATGGCAGCCCACGTTTCAATGTTATATCTGTACTTGTTCTATACAGGATTCTGAATGAATGAGAAGTTAGTTAGAAAACAACTGTACTCTTACCATCTGTTAGATTTTACTAATTTTAGACTTTAATATCCTAAATGTTGGCAAGAATAAATACATCAAGTTTTGGGATTTTAATTTCTACCTAGATGTTTGGTCAGGAAGGGGACATTATGATTTTTAACTTTAGATCATTTTCTAAACCATTATTTTAGGATTAAGGTAATTTGATGTTCTCAAAAGATCTTCACATAGCATGTGGAGAACTACATGGGACCATATGTCTAAGAATTATTTGAATTGAACGTTAGAATAAGAATACATTTTCAAATTAGGCCAGGCGCAGTGGCTCACGCCTGTAATCTCAGCACTTTGGGAGGCCGAGGCAGGCAAATTGCCTGAGTTCAGGAGTTCGAGACCACCCTTGGCAACGTGGTGAAACCCCATCTCTACTAAAATACAAAAAAATTAGCCGGGCATGGTGGCAGGCAACTGCAGTCCCAGCTGCTCAGGAGGCTGAGGCACAATAATTGCTTGAACCTGGGAGGCAGAGGCTGCAGTGAGCCAAGATTGTGCCACTGCACTCTAGCTCCTGTGCAAAAGAGCGAGACTCTGTCAAAAAAATAAACCAAACAAACAAATAAATAAATGAATAAAAATAAATAAATGTTCAAATTGAAGAACCAGTAGAAACTTACATTTACTTTTAATAACGTTTTTTCTATCTAATATATTTTACACTATCAGAGCCTTTGTGTCACAAATCTAAACTGTCAAACAATTGATCCCAGAAAACACCTAATAAAAATCTAATAAAATATCAGTTTTTATATGAGTCATGAGGACTTCTGAAAGTAGAAGCAGGATGTCCAATAAAGAGAGCAAAGAGCTTGGCAGTATTACGGAAGAAGTTCTTATTCTTCATTTTTCATGTTTCCCTAGGTGAGTAAGAATTTTCTCTTTATTCCCAAAAAAGAAAACACAGAAAAAAAAAAAAACCTTCTAGCCTTTTTCTTACCCAAATCTATTTCTCAATGAAAGCATAGGTGAGACTGGGAGAAGGAACTGGCTACCTGCTCATAGGCCTAATATGGAAAGCAACTTATTCTCAGGAATTATGCTTTCTCTCCTTATGTGTGATGTATTTGTTAAAATCATCTCGTAAGCCTATTATTTTGGCAATTTAAGGATTAAGAAAGCTTAATTTCGGCTGTGATTCAAGCCACATTTTCCAAGTCAGATTTATCAATAATAAAACTCATATTTTTATATCTTAATTTAACTTTTTTTTTTTGCAGTTTTCTCAATTTATCTAGAACTCACTTTGGAAGAGAAAAATGATTACTTGTCACTCCTGAAGCTCAGTGCCAAAAATTTGTGTATCAAAAAGTTTTACAGTAAAGATAAATGATTTATATTTACACAAAAAGGCACAAGCCTCATTTGTGCTGAACTCACCTGTATTGCAGTTATTTTTGTAAAACTAAAAATATTTTGTATTTGTGCATCTTTCCATTTTTTGAAGTTTTTAAATAAATATATTCTTCCCTGATTTTTCTAGACCTTGTAATATAAGTGGTTATTTTTGACTCACTTACATAAAGTTATGAAATTTCAGAGAATCTGAAAGTGACATCATGGGAACTAGGAAATAATTGAGATGGAAACGAAACCCATACTTACGACTTGAGTTCAGTGTCTATAAACTCATTAATTAATAAAGGAATTTAATTATAAGCCACTGTGCAGACCCCCAAAGAAAGATTAGTAAACCAAACAGAATTGGTATCTCCTCTCATGGAGCTATAGTTTAGAGGGCAAACACTCAATAATATGTGCAAAATCAATAAAGTTGAAAATGCACTATCACAGGAGAAATTCAAGATGTCATGGGATGACGCAGTAGAGAACACCTAAGCCAGCTCATACCATTGACACTTCCCTAAATAATAGTTTTAATGCCGAAAAAGATTCAAAGGCAGTATATATAAATCATAAATATCACAATAGGCGTGATTATTATCTGACAAAAACTGTTACAATAAAACCCTGATCACTCTTCATGTTTAATTTATTAAGCAAACTATTAGGTACAAAAGATTCAAAGGTGAATATGATATGGTTCCCATCCTCAAAGAATTCTCAACCTTCAGAGAAAGACAGGTAGGGTATAGTTGCAAAAAAGTATGGCCCATGTTATGATAAATCTTTGTGATGACTGCCTTGGAAACATGGAGAAGAGTTAGGAAAACTATCTAGGAGTGTCCAGAAAGACGTCACGAAGAAAGCAAACTTTGAGCCAGCTCTCGAAAGGTATGTAAAAATGGGTCAAATAAAGAAGAGGACAAAATAACCAAAAAGCAACAGAACGTGGAAGTTAACTTATTAAAGTAATGATATATCCAGGAGATGGAAAATGTTTAATGTGTTTTTACTGCTAGATGCTTGGAAGGAATATTTTAAGATGTCTGACGGGAGTTATTTTGGGGTGAGACTGCAAAATTCAATATAAATATAGGCTTAACATGAAGGCAACCTAGGTCTTTTAAAATGGGCTTATTGTGGAGATACTTCTAGGATTTTGCATTGTGCGTTAGTTACGATAGGAAGACTCAAACGAGGAAACCAATTAGGAATCTATGGCAACAGTTCAGTCAAGAGATAATGGGGGAATTTTGATTAAATCATTGAGTGTAAATAAAGGCCTTATTTAGGAGACATTTCAACATTTCAAGCAGAATTTTTAGTACTTCAGTGTTTAAGATGAAGGAGAATGCATAATGATTCACAACCAGTGGTTATATATATTTTACATAGAATAGATATTCCAGTTATGGAGTTGTGACTTCTGAAGCAATATAATTAATTATAACCATTGGGTATCTAGTAACATGAATACAGATTTCTCCAAGAATAAATCATATCAGTTCAAAGCTCATATGATATGTGGCTTGGTCAAATTGAATTTCAAGATTTGAAAAATAACAAAATAGGTTTAGACAATGAAATTATTTAGTATGTTTGGAGTCTAGATATAGTCTAAATATAAGGTTCTGAATAAAACAAATATCTAAAATACATTATATAAAGTAATATATGATACATTTATGAAAAATATCTTAAATGGACGAAATGTAATACTAAAGTCATATGAATAATTATTAAATGAAGCTAAAAACTATTGAGACAAGGAATCAAGTATTAAAAGGCACACCATGCTAAAATATAATTTAAAAAATAAAAAGTATATTTTTAGTTGAGTCTCTTTGGAAAGTGCAAGAATATATCCAAACAAACAGAAAACTTTGCAAGTACATGATAGTATCTTTAAATATATTTTACACTTTCTAAAAAATTAAATTGCTAAAGCAGATGTAAAATTCTAATGGTAAATTTTCTACAGCATGATGCCATTGACAGACTCCATCTGACTCTACTCCTAAGAGCATAGTTTTGAAAAGCAACTCTTAGTTTAGTAGGAGATATTCATTGAGTCACACATAAATTATCATAATCAGAAACACCTATCATTTCTAAGTCTCATGTGAAGTTTAAAGGGAGTATCTGTGAGAGGGTGCAGGTGGAAATGTACCTCAAGAAAGCAAGTCTTTTAAGAGTGCAGCTTCTGGAATCAAACAAACACAGATCCCATACCTGTTCCACCACTTTATAACTACATAGCCTTGAACATTTAACACTTCGTACCTCAGTTCCTCAGTTGAAGAATGGGTCTGATAATAGTAAATCATAGGGATTTTGTGAAAATTAATGATACAAAAGATGTAAATATTTTAGCATAGTACATAGTAACAGTTCAATAATAGTATTCAGTAACTCATAGTAATTTTAATAAAATAGAGAGTGAAGAAGAGATCAAGGAAGAAATAGTCATAAAATAGCAATGAAGAAAAGCTAGATCATCTGTAAAAGAGTCCATTATATTGGCAACAGACTTGTCAAAAGCAATAATGGGTGGCAGAAAATACTAAAATAATATATTTGAACTACTGTCAAAAAGTAACAGTCTAGCTAAAATGGTGTACTTAGTAAAAATATCTTTTAAGGACAAGGGTGAAATAAAAGAAGCTTTACATGAATAAATAGTAAGAGTGCTTACTGCCAAGAAATTTCAATAAAGTAATTTCTAAAGATTGCCACTTAGGAAGAAAGAAAATTATTCCAGAAGGAGGACTGAGATGATTAAACAAATGATGAACAAAAAATATCATTAGTTAGGTAGGTAAATCTCTATAAAAATGTCTGTAAAAATAATAATGTCTAATTTTTACTGTCAACATATCAGAAAAAATGTTTGATTACAGAAAAATGTAATCCAGGAGTGGCGTGATCAGAATAAAATCATTCCAAGGTAAGTGCTGCTTAAGAGAGAGTTAAGATATTAATATCAGACTTTTTATGCTAACTCCACATATATGAATTTCCAAAAGTATAAAAGGGGCAAAGTGGGAGGAATAAAGCTCATTTTTTTCAAATAAATAAAAGATAATTAAAAAGTAGAGAAAGCAAGACAGATTAAACAATTTAAAGTAAAATGGAAGAAAAGGTATAAATATATCAGTTATCACAATAGGTATTAAAGAACTAACCTTGCTAGTTAGGAGACAGAGATTGTCATACATGATTTTTTAAATATGCTTTTTGCAAGATATTCACTTTAAAACAGGGCACAAAAACATTGAAAGTAAAAAGACAGAAAATGGTCTAAGAAATGGTCACGATAAAAATATAAAAATTCTGAAACAGTATTTCCAAATGCAATTCACCCAAAATATATAAAGCAAGAACTGATAGAAATGCATGAAGGAAATGAAAAATATCACACTATCATGGAAGATTTCAATGTAGCTTTCTCAATTTTTGGTAGATTGAGCAAACATAAAGTTAATGAGTATACAAAACTTGAAAAGTATATTTAACAAGGTGAAGTATGTATAGAATATTTGTAGCAAATGTTGATATTTATTCAATATCCCTTTGCCACTTACGGATCCAGTTTACACCAAAGGTATTTTACTGCGAACAGGTTTAACATTGTATCTGAGAGCTCTCTTTCAACCTAAGTGCTCAGATTAGGCAGGAAGTACTGAGTAATTCATGCTCAATAATGCAAATATTTTTGTCTTCCCTTTCTTTTTTCACTTACCTATTTTTCTACTAGTGTTTCTATATTCACTCAAATATTTTTCTCAGAGTCTCCTCTGGGGTGAAAAAAAATGTAAGCACTGGAATTGATTCTAGGAAGCAAACCTTCAGGATGGGCTTCTGGCATTAGATTACTTCTCAGACAGATATTCAAAGGGCCGCATTGTTGGTAAGTAGCAAGTGATGTCTCTCGTATGCCCTAGGATAACATTAACTAAGACTCTTACCTGTAGTATATTGAGATGGAATACAAATGGAGTGGGGAAGAACTCGTGCTATGAGGCATATGCTAGTAAGAAGGGGCACTTGGGATTGGTTGAATCATTCAGAAGCCCAGCAGTGGCTGAATTCTGTGAGTCAAGATTGATAGTAGAAGATGCTTCCATGGAATTGGTATTCCTGGTTTCAATGGAGATGATAGAATTGTAGAATAGCAGAGACTGTACAGAAGCACTTGCCCATAAAAGGCAAGTTCAACAGGATACACCTCTCTGTAGATGTGAGCTAGCCTTTGGCGTCAACCACTCCAGAGTTTCAACAGTCATGGTGGCAGTGATGGAGGCAATTGGTAGGCCTTAAAGCATGAGCTCCTTCTCACCCAGAGTTACCTAACTACTGCTGCTACCAAATGTTCAATGTAGCAGCAACAGAAAATAATGCTGATATCGTACCATCCCTTGAGGAAACCAACTAGCTCCTTAGAGGTAATTTAATGACATTATAATTCTTATTTCCTATAAGATCCAGGATTCTAACCTCACAGGTATTTTGTACAAATTGGGGATATGAGTTAGCCTTCTTTGCCCTCATCGCCTTGCCCAATCCACTGTTTGTGGGGTAAGACTACCTGAATACCTTCAAGGAGTCCCTCATATCATCACCTGGGACTTTGATGAAAGAGGTTCAATATGGGTGCATGATTACGGATTCTTCAGTCCTGTAATATACTATATCACTTGCTGATTGAATTTCTCAATAGTCTATTTACAAATACAGTTAATATGACAACTTGAGAATGACAGCTTGGGGTGCTGTTCTTCAAAATCTGATATATAATTGAACCAATGGACATTATACATCACTGTGTTCCTAGTTAGCCATAAAACATGGAGAATCACAGTTATAGAAGTGAGAAGCCCCTCTCATCGTCACCCCTAGTGATGAACTATCCCTAATACTTTGAAGACAAAAAGATCTAGTTATCTGGGTGGGTAAGGAGTGTGTTAAACCTAAAGCTATAGTTGCCTCCTAGATATTTTGGGGGCCTTGCACTGGCAACCCACTACCAAAGAAAGGAGTTGTATATTGGTAAGGGATATTGACCCAAGTTATCACATGCACAAAATTACTCCGAGTATTTTTTCCTGGAAAAAAATGAATAATATTATTTATTTTCATTGAGCAAAATGTACAGAAGAACTAGCCAGGAGGGAATACAAGAATTCTGTTAAGATATTCATTTTGAGATTAACATTGTATCCTCAGGTATAGAAGGTCTAATTTTAGCTCACTGCTATTGAGCTAAGATTGAATCATTTCAATCAAATATCTAGATGAAACTATTACACATTTATTAAGATTCAACTATCTCAAGATAGTCTGTAATCAAAATTTAGTAATTTTATTTTAGTATCACATTAACTCTGAAATAAATCTATAATTAAAATGTTGTGAATAGACATTATCTTAAACAGGCTGTAAAAGAATGGCGTGAACTTAATGTCAGGAACAAATGGACTTGAGTGCTGTGAAGCAGAATAGTTACCTACTTTGGAAAACAGTTTGGGGGTTTCTCACAAAGCTAAACATAGAGTGACCTTGTGACCCAGGAATACCACTCTTAGAAATGAAAATGTTTGTCTACACATAAACATTTAAATGAATTAATATAGCAGCATTATACATATTAACCAAAAAGTGGAAATAACCCAAATAATCATAAACCAATAAGTTGGTAAACAAAATGTGGTATATCCATAAAATGGAATATTATTCAGCAATAAAAATGAGTAATGTACTGATACATGCTAAACGTGTATGGACCTTGAAAATATATGCTAAGCACAAGACACCAGTCACAAAACACCACATATTTTAGTGTTCTATTTATATGAAACATCCAGAACAAAAAAACTCTATAGAGACAGAATGTATTTTAGTGATTGTTTAGGGATGGGAAAGTGGGAAGAACCGTGGAATTACTACCAACGAGCATGTGTTTCTCTTTGGAGTGGTCAAAATGCTCTACAATTGATTGTAATGACCTGAATATACTAACAGCCATTGAATTATGCACTTGAAATAGATTGTAATGACTCTGAATATACTAATAGCCATTAAATTATACACTTGAAATAGATAAGTTATATGGTATATTAATTATATCTCATAAAGCTGATATATATTTTAAAAAATTAGTCATTTCACAAAAATGAAAAAATGGCTTATGTACTTGTGACATGTTAATCATGTAAAAAAATGGAACACGAGGTAACACTATTTCTGTATTATTTATCGCAAACTAGATTTAAAAAAAATTAAAATTAAGATGTGTAGTAGCAAGAAGTATTATTGAAAATGGGGATCAAGTAGAATGATGGTCATCAGGAGCTGATGGGAAGGGGGAACGAAAAGTTAGTGTTTTCTTGAAATTTTTTAAGCTGTATTGAGATATTATTGATATATTTTAAAAACTGGACATATTTAATGCAGACAATTTAATGACTTTGGAGATATGCATATATCTGCAATGCCATCACCACAATCAAAAGTTCCATATGAAAAATGTGAAAAATCTCTAGAGATGTATGATGGTGATGGTTGCACAACAATGTGAATATGCTTAATGTCACAGAACTATATACTTAAAATGGCTAAAAGGGTAAGTTTTATGCTATGTGTATTTTACCACAATAAAAAAAAGTAAGGAAGAGGAAGGAGAAGAAGAAGAAGGAGGAGGAGGAGGGGAAGTTGGAAGAGGGGAATACAGAGGAGGAGGAGAAAGGAGGAAGGAGAAAGGAGGGGAAAAAAAGGAAGAACAATGGAAATTATTGTCCTCTGGTCACCAAAGCATAAATTAAAAAAAAAATTAAAAAGCTGAGAACCAGATTGAGGAGCTGAAATGTGATGTGGAAACCTTCCCGTTCTATTCCTGCTTCTCATCTCAGCTCATTTGTGTTTGACTCACTGGCTTGTTGAGCATCGAGTGAATGCTTTTCTGCCTGTATTTCCACCAACTCACATATTCCTCCTGGAAGATGAGTAACTTACACAATTCATAAAATTGTGAAAGATTTCTTCTCATTCCATTCAAAGGAGGAATCAGTGAATTGAAACTTGGACACCATAGGTTCATCTCCTTCAGACATTGTTTTGCAGACTGCTGTTCTCAATCGAGCACACTCTGCTTTTTCACTTTCTGTTCTCATTTACTAAGAGAGTGTTATTGAGGGTCATCTATACTTCCAGTAATAATGCTAATATCTTCATTCTCAGTCTGCAAGTCTCCCTCTTATTGGTCTGAATTCTACAGTAATGTCATTGAGTGAGACTTTCTTTACTTCCTGAATTTCTGAGTTTTATCCAGGACTAACAAGAGCAATAACAGCTATAATGTTCGGTAAATCAAGAAGCATTTGCCCTTTCCTTTCTACTGCAAGGAGACTGACAAAAATTAGCCATAAACTTCTTGCTTGTTCATCAAGAAAAACATAAAACAACATAAAAAAAACATAAAACAACAAAGACAACCCTTCACTTTGACTGTGAAGACTGTGGAGGGAATGAGCAATTTGGAAAAAAAAATGTTGTTTTTGTTCCTGTGTATTCTTATTATTGACACATTCTTTATGCTGGAAAAAAATCAAAATTTTACTAATTCATATGTGGTCCACTGTACTCAGAACATTTACATTTAAAATAAGCAATTTTTTTAAAAAAAAAACTAGCAATTATCTACTAATGCCTGTCAAACGCATATCTCATTGAAGTCAGAGGCATTTCTTGCAAGAGTTTTAGCCAATTTTGCACACACAGGTGTGAGCTATAGAACAGGAAAACTACAGATGAAAATAAGGAGTACGTTTTAAATAGCAAAGTAAATTGGTTAAAATGTAAAAACGGCAAGTCAGTAGATTCTACTTGAGAATTTATCACTGTCTAACAGTGAGATTTTGGATAATTTGCTTAAGCTATTCAGGTTGTAAACTCATCCATTAGACTGAAAGATATTTAAGGTTGCTTCCAGTTTAAAATTTTAGAATCCTTAAAATTGTCAGGTATCCAAATTACTGCTTTCCATAACCTTAAAATCTACACTTTAAGAAATAACTGCATGACTGCCTTATGTTTTTAAACCAATATTTGGATCTCTGTAGACAAATCTTCAGTCATCAAGCAGAATAGATTATGTGTACTTCTAAGCAACAAAAGTTCTAACTTTTCCATAAAATCTATTTTTCTATTCCTCAAAATCATGTTTATGGTTGACTGCCCACTAAGAGAACAATTTCCCTACCAATAATCTGGATTTTTATTTCCTTTCTTCTCCATTTTCCTAATCTAATCCTTTATTATATTAATTTATATAAAGGACCAATCAATAAACTAATATTAAGATTGTCTTGTGACTCATATATAAGAGGAATAAAAATGGGAGAAAAATATCATTTAATTTTTTTCCTATATTTATCTCTTGCTAGAAACTGGGAACAGAATTCAGTGAGCTTAGTATTATCTTAATAAGATTGTAGCCCATAGTTATATTATGTCCTATAAACATAGGCATCCCTAAGGACTGGGATGAGATTTCTTGATTTTTGGTTTTCAGCATCTAGCACCAGGCTAAAAAAAATGAAAGATTCTCTATAAATGTGTGTTGAACTGAATTTAGCTGAAGGAGACAAGGAAAGGAAAAGGAAATTTGAATTGACTGGGCCGGGACATTTTTGAGTACTTTACAAAGGTTATCACACAAAGGTTATTGACTTGTACTGATATTTTTAATAAACATGCTGAGGCTCCAAGGCAAAAAGAAACACCATTTCATGGACTTCCTTAATGGGCTACAGTCAAGTTGCATAACTCTGGCTTGATAAACTGGTTTCCTACCAAGTTCAGGTTTTTGCACCATGTCCACTCTACCTCATAATTCGCCAGTACTCCTATGTGCCTTGATTTCAGTATTAGGTAGACAAATAAGATTTTTGCCTTGATTTCATTACAAGGTAGAAAAATAAGATTTTTGAGATTAGTAGAAGTGAAAATAATCTGTGTATTTTGTGAAGATTTATCTGTAAACTCATAGAATTCTCAAGTATAAGAACTTGACTTTACCTTTTCTGAGTGCTAATTGATTAATAATAATAATAGAATCAAAGAATTGGTGGTAAAGAGAGGGTATGATTTCCTCAACCCAGCAGCATTTTAAATACTGGGTGAACATACAGTCATGACAGGCTGGCAGATTTAAGTTAAAAAAAATCATGAAAATGTATCACTGAATGTATTTTTATCTTTACCAAAGTTTAACCTGGTTCTTACTGAATTACAAGTATATGATTTTAGTGGCCTAAAATTTACAGAATCATTCATGGAACGTTTGCTTTAGTCAAAGCGCCAATTTATTCTACTGTAAGTTTCTGTACAAAGGTCATCATATTTATGCTCCTGGGTCTCTATAGCTAATTCATATAATCAACAAATATTTATGGGGCAGCTACTATGTGCTGAAAACTGGTTTAAAGCTAAGTTCTGGAAACAAAGCTATTAGTTGCCCTTGACAGCTACATTCTAGTAAACTTTAGCCTAATAGGGAAATATTAACCAGAAAAGTAAATAAATAGAAGTAAAATTAAAAATAAAAATTATATTAAGAAAAGATCTGTTCAATAAAAAGGGAAATAAGGGCTGATTGGTGATTTTAAAAGATGGTGATAAAAAAGGTCTTTTCTAAGGAGGATCCTGCCATGTAAAGATCTGGTAGAAAAGCCTTCTATGCAGAGGGAAAATCAAGTGCAAAGGCCTCAAGTAAGAACTAGCTTGACCTTGTTTGAAATACAAAAAGACCAGTGTCCCTAGAATTAATCAAATGAAAGTAAAAAAGTTTAAGTCAGTGAGGTAGGCAGAGGTCAATGAGGTCAGGCCTTCTAAGCTAAGGAAAGAAGGGTGTGTTTCACTTGACTTGAATTGCAGTAAGAAGCCACTGAAGTAGGATAACTACACAACCTGTCATCCAAACCAGAATCTTTTGAGAGAGAAAGGAGGCTCAATTAATAATTATTTCAGAACAATAGAAACAAACTAGGACTCTCCCAAGCAAACAGGGTCATGAATACCCTCTATTGAAGATTTCTAAGCAGTTTCTTAGCAGAAAAGTAATATATGATTTATGCTCATAAAATATTAAATTAACCTCCTTGCAGAGAATGAACTATGTAAAAAGACAAAACTGCAAGCAGAGAAACTAACAAGAAGTTACTGTGTGTGCCTCATTGGCAAATAATTTTTGTTTGTGCTTAGCTCTGCAGTAGCAGAGATGGTGAGAAGTATTCAGGTGTGAAGTTAGAGCAAAAAAGAAAATTTTGTTGTATCCTGCATGTAGGGTGTGAGGGAAAGAAAAGAATACAGGATGACTCTCAGTATTTCTGCTTGAGAAGAATGGGTGAATAATGACACCATTTACCTATGCTGGGTAAACTGGACAGGAGGAATAGTCAGGAGAGGAAATAAAAATTGTGCTAAGAGAAATTTATCTGAGATAAATATATCTCCAAGCACAGAAAGCCGAATATCAGCTCATTCCTAGACATATGGTCAATTAAGTCAAACATTCAGACCAAACTTTCGAACAGAATTCATTCGGACTCAACTGTCACAAGCTAGCCTATATGCAAATTTAATAATTTTGAAGGTCTTTCAGCAGGAAGCAAAGGCAATAAAAATAGTAAATCACAAAGGAAATGTAATATTTAATTCCTCTATTTTAAAGTCCAGGGCTCTCCTCTGACCTCAATATCAAGAAATACATAGAAATTTAAATATGTGAATATATGTTGTAGCACAAAATACATTACTTCTGCTTGACTTTGCTCATGAATCATTTCCATAGTTTCTTATTCTACTATAAAGGAGTTAGTAAATATTCGGATAACCTGTGTTCTCATACCCAAAAGCAATGATACTGATATATATGGATATCAAGCAAGACTTTTACTCTCTCTCATTGACAATGTATGCCATTAATGTAAAAGGACCAGTATCTGATATAGATGGTCGGGTGCTCATTCCAAATAGCTGATGTCCTCAATGTGCTAGTGTCAAAGAATGTTTGTCGGTAAAGAATTTTATACTCCAATGTTTCAACTTAAATGTCAGGTTTATAGAGTTCATCATGACCAAGTCTTTTTATAGAAAAAAAAAAAAACTAAAGGGTCCTATAATCTAGCATTTTATTTGAGAATAGTTAATCCCATAAAATGATAACTAAATATAATTAATTTCATGTGGTTCAACTGTCAATAATATACAGTAAGCATAGAATCATTCTCTGTTTCTTCCTCCTAAAAACCGTAGATGACCTTGAACCCACTGTGCCTACTCCTTGTTTTGGGGCTGGCAAAACTTAAGTTTAATATTTGCATGTGTGCATGTTCAAACTACAGTCCCTGAGAAATGGTATTGATCTTTAAAAACTCAGCAAATTGGCAAGATCTATGTTCTTGTAGCAGTGGTATTCTTTCGGGGGCAATCAGCTTTTTCTTCATGTTGCATATGTACAATCTATGTATGTGACTAAAGCAGCAAGGCATGACACAGAACAGCATATTGCTAATTAATGAGGTGTGCATTAGACAGAGGTAGTATCATAAGTCACTTTACATAGACTCAGTCAAGATCAATAATTTTGTGTTGGCCGGGTGTGGTGGCTCACTCCTGTAACCCCAGCACTTTGGGAGGCCGAGGTGGGTGGATCACCTTAGGTCAGGAGTTTGAGTCCAGCCTGGCCAACATGGTGAAACCCATCTCTATTAAAAATACAAAAATTACCCAGGCATGGTGGTGCATGCCAGTAATCCCGGCTGCTTGGGAGGCTGAGACAGGAGAATCACTTGAATCCATGAGGCAGAGGTTGCAGTGAGCCGAGATTGCGCCACTGCACTCCAGCCTGGGAAACAAAGTGAGACTCCGTCAATAAAAAAAAAAAATGTTACACGTACCTCTGTTCTGGCATAATTTTTTTTAGGTTAATTGTTTTAGAATTCGTAATTTGTGCACTTCCCAGGGAACTGTCACCCTCTGGGATCTGAATGACATAATAGAATGATTTGTGGGGATGGATGCACCCAGACCCAATTATAATGTTGACCTACTATTTATTAAACACAGACTAGATGTTTACTGTTTTTGAGCTTTGGTTTTCTCATCTGCAAAATGGAACTAGAAATATATAACTTTTAGGGCTGCCCTGAAGATAGACAAAAAAATTTACTTAAAATGATTATTCCAGTGCCTAGCACAAATTTGGTGCTTGATTAATGCTAGTTGCACTTCTATTGATGAAAAACATTCATTCCACACTAAGCATAGGCTATTTCGAATTGTTATGTGTCTTATTTATCTTTGTGTTTAATGAATTGTTTCACAGAGTAACTCCTTAAATATTTATTTTAAAATTTAATTTGAACAAGATAATTCTTAGTCCTAGACTATCCCAATGTAGTTAATAACAGAGTAATATATTGTTAATAAAATAGAAATAAAAGTTTTAACATGTATATTTCTACAGACATATATGTACAAATATACATCTAAATATATACATACTTAACTATGTATATTTGATGCTGAAAATATTGGTGATGGTATTGAAAATTTATGTAAAATAGTGGAAACTATTGATTTTGCTTAGAAAATTATTTCTTTATAACAAAAAATCTCTTGCTTTTTTTTTATTCTCCCTCTTCTGTTTTTATAACCAGATATAACTGAAAAAGATTACTAAATTAGAATTTTTAGGTATTTCTTCATTTTCAATTTTTATAATTGTTTTATGAAATGATGAGTAAAGAAAGAACTTCAAAAATTTTTACACAATTCTGGAGGAGAACCGTTCCTATCATATTCTAAATCAGAGTTCTAACTTACTTTCAATAGCAGACAAAGAAAAGATTTCATGAGTTCTGCTAGTTTCCAAGATTCTATTAGTCAAAAAGATTTCAAGAAAAAGGGAAAGTAATGAACATACACATGAATGTATCTTTTTAATAAAATGATTTATATTCCTTTGAGTATTTACTCAGTAATGGGATTGCTGGGTTGAAAGGTATTTATGCCTTTAGGTCTTTGAGGGATCACCAAACTGTCTTCCAAAACGGATGAAGTAATTTACACTCCCACCAATAGTGTAAAAGTGTTCTTTTTCCTCCATTACCTTGCCAGCATCTGTTGTTTTTTGACATTTTAATAATAGCCATTCTGACTGATGTGAGATGGTATCTCATTGTGGTTTTGATTTGCATTTTTCTGATGGTCAGTGATTTGAGCTTTTTTCATATATTTGTTGGCCTCATGTATGTCTTCTTTTGAGAAGTGTCTGTTCTGTGTCCTTTTCCACTTTTTAATAGGGTTTTTTTTTCTCGTAAGTTTATTTAAGTTCCTGAAGACTCTGGTTATTAGACTTTTGTCTAATAGATTGCAAAACTTTTCTCCCATTCTGTAGGTTGTCTGTTTACTCTGTTGATAGTTTCTTTTGCTGTGCAGAAACTCTTTAATTAGATCCCATTTGTCAATTTTTGCTTTCGTTGAAATTGCTCTTGACAGCATTATTCACAATAGCAAAGACAGGGAATCAACCAGAAGCTCATCAATGATAGCCTGGATATAGAAAATGTGGTACATATACAACATGGAAAGCTACGCAGCCATAAAAAGTAATGAGATGATGTCCTTTGCAGGGACATGGATGGAGCTGGGGGCCATTATCCTTAGCAAACTAATGCAGAAACAGAAAACCAAATACCACGTGTTCTCACTTATAAGTGGAAGCTGAATCATGAGAACATATGGGCACAAGGGGGGAAACAACACATCCTGGGGCCTCTCAGAGGGTGGAAGGTGGGAGGAGGGAGAGCATCAGGAAGAATAGCTAATAAATCCCATGCTTAATACATGGGTGATGGGATGATCTGTGCAGCAAACAACCATGGCACATACTTACCTATGTAACAAATCTGCACATCCTGCACATGTACCCTTGAACTTAAAAGTTGGAAATAAAAAGAAAACCTTATGCTAAATGAAAGAAACCAGTCATACACAAAAAAAACCCACTTATTTTATGATTTGATTTGTTTGAAATGTCCAGAACAGGGAAATCTACAGACACAGAAAGTAAATTAGTGGTTGCTTAGGGATAGGGGAGGGTGGATGGCAGAAGGATAGCTAAAGCTTACAGAAGTTTCCTTTTGTGGCAGTGAAATGTTCTGTGGTGAGGTTTGGACATATCTGTGAATATACTAAAAATAATTGAATTGTACACTTTAAATGAATGAATTGTATGGGTTGAATTATACTTTAATAAAGTCATTTTTTAAAAAAAGAGAAAGGAAAAGTTTATAATTAGAAGCCTAGACATTAAATTTTGAAGGAGTGACTAATAAGTTCTTTGATCCATATTTATTTTGACACCTGTCGATTCCTTAGAGAATTAGACAAACATATGTGTATCTTCAGTTTGATGATTATTCTATTTCCAAAACTAGAGCAAGTCTAGTATCCTCCTAATCTAAATATATCAGGAGACTTTCAGAAATCTATGAAAACCTTTAACACAGCAGAAAAAAATCTGTGTTCTTTGATTTGTATGCTGTTATAATAAACTAACAATTGTCTGTGATAGAGTGATAAATCAGAAAATATAGGGGTATGAATATTAAGATATTTGACTACTATATAGCAGGAGTCTTAGCCCATTGGGCTGCAGTAGTAAAATACCCTTAACTGAGTAGCTTATAAAGAAAAGACATTTATTTCTCACAGTTCTGGAGTCTTGGAAATCCAAGATCAAGGCATTGACATATTTGGTGTCTAGTGAAGGCCCATTTTCTGGTTCATATATGGAGACTTCTGGGTATGTACTCACATAGTTCAAAGAACTTAAGGCAGCTTTCTAGGGACTCTTTTATAAGGGCAAACTAATCTCATTCATGAAGGCTGAGCCCTTATGATTTAATCACTTTCCAATGGCCCCACCTCTTAATATCCTCACATGGTGATTAGGTTTCAACGTATGAATTTAGAGACAACACAAACATTCAGATGATAATAGCCAGCATTATTTAGGTGCATTCAAGCATTAGTTTATTTAATCCTCACAATTATCCTGAGTTTGTTACATTTTGTCATTTGGAAAATAAAACAGAGGAATCACACATCTTGATCTAGGGTACACAGCTGGTGTGTAAATCAGGGCACACAAAATTTAAACTGTGTCTGTCTATAAAATGAAAGATCTTAGCCACTAAGTCATGTATTTCTACGGCCATAAAAAGGGAAGTAAAGTGATAGAAAAACATAGAAAATAGTCACTAGTGTCCCATAGTGGCTTTGCCACATCTAAAGCATGAATAGAAATTGATTCAAAATCAGCCATATTTTAAGATGATGACAGTTCCTCAAATAAAATTTAATGTAACCTATTTTTTGCACTTGATAATATTAAGTTTCATTTCTCAATAAGGTCTAAAGATCTAAAAGATCCCTAGTCTTACACAGACCTAGAGTATCTCTGGGTGGTGTTTATGAGTACATTAACACAGGGCCAAAATTTAAAAATCAATCAGCCTGACTTTTGTTCACAAAAACAACAAATGGTTTATTTATTACTTGTGTTTGTCTGTTTATTCCCATTGGTTTGGGCCCACATGAATAGAATTCATAATCTAATAAAAGAGCTGGGGGAAACAGCATTCATCTCTTTGGCCCTTCATCCCCACTGCCATATGAGAACATAGTGTTCCTGCCCTCCAGAGGATACAGCAACAAGGCTCCATCTAGGAAGCAGAGAAAAGCCCTTATCAAGACACCAAATGCTGGTACTTTGATTTTGTATTATCCAACCTCCAGAAATGTAGGAAATGAATTTCTATTCTTTATAAATTATACAGTCTTAGGTATTTTGTTATAATAGCACAAAATGAACTAAGATAGCCTCCTAAAAACTGAATCAATTTACCATCACCCTCAACAGTGTATTAATGTTCCATTTCCCTGATATTCTCCTCATCACTGAATATTAAACTTTTCCATTTTATCCAACTTATGTATATTATTATTGTCTCAATTGGGAGTTTTACAAATCACTAGTGAGGTCGAATGTTTTTTAGTGTATGTATTGATCATTTGTACCTTTTTCTGTAAAATCTGCGCATATAATTTGCTCATTTTTTTCTCTTGGCATTTTCCTACTGAAACATAAAAGCTTTCTGTGTATTCTGTTTATTACTCCTTTGTTGCAGGTAAACTGTAAAAATACTTTCTTCCAGCCTCGAGCTTGTCATTTGCCAATATTTATGATGTCTGTTTATTAAGAGTTTTGTGTTGTATGTAGCAAAGTCATTCAACTTCTTCTTTATATATTTTACATTTTATATCTTGTTTAGGAAGATATCTCAATCCCTAAATTCAAAAATATTTTTCTATATTTTTTCTACTACTTTTTAAAATATTTAGCTCTTAATCTATTAGTACTTTTTATATAGTGTGAGGTAGCTATTGAAATCAAATTTTGTTTTAAAATAGATGTTCATCTCCAATTTACTAAAAGCTTGCTTTTACTTTCCATACTAATTTGAAATACAACCCATTTTATATTATAAATTCCCACATAGAAATGGTCTATTTCTGTTTTCCTTATTCAATTGCATTGATGTATTTTTGAAAAAATACTGTGTTATTTTAGCACTGTGATGAATTGAAGTATATGTATTGAAGAAAAAAATTCCACTACCACCTCACAGATGAGGTCTAATGTTTAAGAGCACAGATTTCAGACCCATTCCTGGCAGCAGTACTTCCTGCCTGCTGGTATGTTGGTTGAACTTTCTGTACCTCCCATTCCCTATTTGTAAAATTTGCATGAGTATAGGATTATTATTAGTATTAGAGAAGTATTAGAATTATAAGATTATTTTTAGGATTCTTATAAGTGAGTTAATATATGTAAAGTTCTTAGATCAGTATTTATTATATAGTAAATACTTTATAAGTGTTTCCTATGGTTATAAACCCCCTTACATTTATTTTGAAAAAATAGTGCAATATCTGCTTCATATAAATTTTTGCATCAGAATGCCAATTTTCATAGATATTACCATTTGTACTCTGTTAGAACAATGGGTACCACATTAATTTACCTAAAATACTGTTTTGTGCACATTGGTATTATTTAGCAATGGAACCTTGTTTTCATATGAAAGTTTGAGTAGAGTCTAAAAAAACAATCCCTTAAAGATGGACCTGCAATGGTTAAAGCCACCAACCCCGACTACCAATAAACAGCTTCCAGGACTCTAAGAAAAATAGTTTGAAAATCCCCGGTTGAAATTATTTTTTTCTTGTCACATTATCTCTCATCACATGAATGTTTATTTCAGTGAGCAGTGACTGAGTTATTATGTTTTATTGTCTGAGAGGAGGTTGGCATTTGGTGTACTTTGTAAGAAAAACATCCCTAGACAGTATTCCAGAATTTGTAATTTCAGGAAAGAAAGCAATAAATGACCACCATCCCCATCTGTTCAAAGGCTGCATTTAGTAAAGAGGAATGACAGATTAATGCACACCATATGAAAGAATTTTTGTTTCACTAAATTTGGTAAATTTGTATAAACACTGTAGCATATGGTTAGGTGAGATGATATTATAATCACATACTCATCACTCTGATAGATAAGCTAACTATATTAGTCTTTTGTACAAAATACACTACTGAGTTTTGTGTTCCAGTAATGCTGTTATTGGTTATCTTCTTTATTTAATATGAACAGCTCCCTAAACCATAAGTAATTTAATCAGCCTTCTGTATTTTTATATTTATGTCATCACTTCTGTTGAACTAAAAATGCAATTCACTAGTTATTATCATAAACATAGTCTGCTGAGTACAAGGAATTATAATAATGGGCTGTATTTGTTCTACTGTTATACTTTGTTCAACCAAGTGACAGCATGAACTTGCATCTAAAACACAAGTTATTGTACACTGCAGGCCAAACCATAGGCTAGTTCTGAAGTATGAGCTAATAGTGCAGACATGGGATAACAGTGAATGGCTCTCTGGGTTCCAATGAGTAGGGCAACTTTCCAGTTCATCTGAGAGAAGCACAGTCCAACATTAGCACAGCAATGTACCCATCTGTGAGTTTTAGTAGCTTTGAATGAGTGCATTGCAGACACTGTGGCTAGTTAGCCAGTTTTACTGAGTGTTGCACACTGCTCTGCCTGTATGATAATAAAAGACATCACAGATGGGACTATTGTTTTGGGAGGGATACCAACAGTGAGTATCTTGATGTGCTGTGTCATCAAAGTATACAACGTCACAGAAAAAATAATGGTTGATTATCAACACAGAGATATTATGTTGAGGTATTCTAGGTTCTTAGAGACATTGGGAAAAAAATAAGAATAAATTTGAATTATTCATTATGCAGAGTCTCCAATATGCCTTGTAATTAGTGGACAGATCATTATATATGTGACTCACATATATACATTTTAATCTGTAGAGATTAAACTCAATAACTCAGTGGTCTTTACTTACAAAAAAATTACAAAACTTATTTAAATTCTTTGAATATTGTCTCTTCTCTAACCTAAAAAGGAAAAAAACCCTGCAATTTTTTTATATACCCATTGACATACTGGTCAAAATGAGTTTTAGAAGTGAAGAAACTTGCCCAGGATTAAGACTAGCAATTTTGGAGCATAATTCAAAATCAGTCTGTCTAATTTCAAAGCCACTAGCTGAACCATTAAATCATGCCTACCTCATTGTAAGAGCATTTTTTCCCCACAAGCCAATCCTCCTTGGTTTGTTTATTTGTTTAGTTTGAAAATCTATCTATCTATCTATCTATCTATCTATCTATCTATCTATCTATCTATCTATCATCTAGAAAACAAGCGATGGAACTTGTAGCAAAGATTACCATCTTATCTAAAAAAGCAAACTATACAAATAATATGCAATATTCTTATGTTCTTATTCTCACAGTCTTCTTATTTACTCTCTAGAGACAACTGCTATACTGAGCTTGGTGTGTATTCTGCCAGACAATGTTTTTAATTCTTTGACTGCATACATATTATATGTAAGCCATCAACATTAATTATGTGTTGACCTACATAAATTGTATCATGCTGTGAAATGATTCTATAAAGTTTTTCTTACAATTTCACATGTAATCTAGCTGATTCATTTTAACAATTGCATCACAATCAATGTTTTATTTACCTATCCCATATTGATGAATACTTAGACTTCAAACTTTCAATATTTTAAATAAATATTCAGCAAACAGTCTTCTGTGTATTTCTTATATAAGTGTGTGAAGTTTCTCTAAGTGTTTCTAAGGTATATACCTTAAAGTATGTCAATGGTCAGTGTCCATGCTGTCCAATAAATTATTTGAAATATAATCCCTTTGTGCATACAATGTACCTTTGTCAAATATTATACCAACATAATATTCTATCAGCACTGTACAAATAGGCCTATTTTTACATTCTGCCAATACTAAATTATTTTGAAAAAAGTTAATTGTTTAATCTCGCATATATATATAAATCTATAATATATGCAGATTTTGAAAGAATAA
The DNA here is from genome assembly GCF_000001405.40 of Homo sapiens. NCBI lineage: Eukaryota > Metazoa > Chordata > Mammalia > Primates > Hominidae > Homo > Homo sapiens. The sequence continues at coordinate 95,960,991 of NC_000006.12, forward strand.
GTGAATATCACAGTCTCACCACCATATTAATGAGTTAGAACACTACTGGTTCCTAAGAAGTTGTGAGTTCCTACAAAATTATAGTTATCCTCTAGAGTCAATTTTTTGTTCATTATTCTCTTTTTCCATATATATTTAGCTGTCTGAATATGTATGTCTAGTTTGGAAACCCTAAGTAGCAAGAATAAAACTAGATGAATAATAAAAATGGAATTTTACACTATTAGTGGAAAGCTTTCAGGAAAAACTCTGCTGAGAGATAGCATCTCTAAAAGTGTATAAGAGCCCTTTTTGGTGAAGTTAGTGGGTGAAGCTATTAGAGTCCTGACAAACAGGGCTTTTGTCACTTAGACCATGTAGCTAGGTTGAAGTGAGAAATAGATATTGAGGAATATTCAACAGAAATATGGTCAGAGGAAGTGAGCAGCTCTGCATTTTCTGCTTCTAAGCTCATCATAGCCCAACTTTAGGTCCCATGAATTGGCCAAAGCAGAACACTTATGGGAACGTCAACTGATCCAGGGAATAAAGCATGAGGAGAGAAGCAATAACTTTATCAGTACATGTTTTAGTTCAACCAGGTACAGGTAAGAATCTGGGGCAGGTGCCACGTAGGCATTCTGCTCTTAGATTAATAATAATGGCACAGAGGCAGTGGAGAGGTTGTTGAAAGTAGACTTCAACAAGTTTGTCTCTTGAGTCTATTCCAATCTATTCTGAAGCACAGTTATCATTGAGGGATCTTTATTCATAATCTTACCAGGAGGTCTCTTTACCTCTTTCTTGTGGTAAATATCTTGTTTCAAGAATTCAATTTTGTCCTCTGTCTTGGCTTTCTTTGAGCTTCAAAAGGGTATCTAGTTTCTCTTATCGATACCAACCGAACCCTTGATGTCAGAATTTCAGGCCTATTCTCAAGGACTTGTCTGGTCTCCCATAGAGACCTCCAATATCCTACTTGGAAGGTAAGGACCTAGAAGCTCAATGGTAGAGAAGGGCTGTCATCGTTGAATTCATTAGTCACTATAGGAATCACCATTTAATCCCTTTGGGGAATATCCCCGCTGTGCTTGTTTCTACCAATCCCTTCTATTTACTCAATTCATAGCATAAACTTTTAGATTTCTATTTGGTTGAGAAAGAGGCAATTTACAAACAGGAAGTATTTTTTAGGGGATCTAGAAATAGTAATGCATATAAATGTCTTTTAGCCAGTCTTCCTCATGTTAGGCTTCCCCTTCACTTACAATTACATGGTCCTTGATATTTCTGGTAATTCTTGAGAATTATTCAGTAGACATTGTGTAGTCTTAAGATTTCCATGTTAGGCTTGGAATCTGGCTTTTTTCAGATGGATGAACCTGTTACCACTTGTGAAGCCAAAGTATCTGAGACAGGTCTCAATCAACTTAAAAAGTTGATTTTGCCAAGGTTAAGGACACACTTGTGACACAGCCTCAGGAGGTCTGATGACATGTGACCAAGGTAGTCAGGATACTGCTTGGTTTCATACATTTTAGGAGACATGGGACAGCAATCAATATGTGTAAGATGTACATTGATTTGGTCCAGAAAGTCAGGACAACTGGAAGGCTGCCCCAGATTTTGAGGTCATAGGTAGATAAGAGACAAAGAGTTGCATTCTTTTGAGTCTTCGATCATCCTTTCACTGAACACACAATTTAAATGTGGGGGAGGGGGCTAGAGGAATAGTCACTTATACCTTAGTCTGACTCAGTGAATCTTTATATTTTACATAAACAATAGGGCAGAAGAAGAAATCAGACATGCATTTGTCTCAAGTGAGCTGAGATGACTTTGAGTTCTGTCCCCTTTTTCCACATCTGTGAAGATAAGTTATCAGTTTACATTGCCAAGGTGAAATTCGACAGAACTGTTTCAGGACAAAGATCTTGAGAACCACAAGGAATTTCCTTGTGGGCACATTGTGAGGGAGGTATGTAACTTTTTTATCTTTGCAGCTATCTTATTTAGGAATAAAATGGGAGGCAGGTTTGCCTGATGCAGCTCCTAGCTTGACTTTTCCCTTTGCCTTAGTGATTTGGGGGTTCAGAGATTTATTCTCCTTTTACAAACTTTTCCATCTCTTTTCCAGCTTACAAAATGTTGTTGCTCTTGCCTTGATTCTGTGTTTCTCATCTTTGCTGACACTAAAGTAGGCATTGTGGAGGCTGAGACCAAATCTAAAACAAAATAGACTTTTACTGAGAACGTATGCAACTCTAAATATTCCCACTTGAGCAGTTTTCAGATTCCTTTTATTAACCATTTTCTTCTTAAGTACTTTAAAATGGAGTGCCCTGTGTGAGGCTGTATGCATTAAAACAAACAAACGAATGAACAAACAAAAACTCTTGATGATGGTTTTTGGAATGCTACACACTTATTCAAATGAGACTTAAGTAATCTGAAAGTACGGATGCAATTTATAAGAATCTTAAATGCAAATTAGAGAAAAATTACAAAGCTAGAATGGGAATTGTTTCTGCACACTACCCAATGCTGGAGGAAGACAGTGTGTGAAATGCTAGCTAGCTTGTGAAGGGCTTATGAAAATGATGCTATGCCATTCTTCAGACTATATGCTGAATGGGGAAAGAAGATGTAAGAAATAATAAGCAACGTAGTCATGGGTCTCCAAAATAAATTAATTCAGTGTAAACACTTTCTATTCTAGACATTTCTAAGAATATTCAGTGTGAGAGAGATTGGAGATCTCAGAAGCTCATGGTGAGTGGAGGAAGCTGACTATCAAATGCCAACAAGGACTCAAGGCATATATCTGTGCTGCTCCTTGTCTTTTAGGTATCAGCTAAAATGTCTCCTCTTTCTGACCACCCTATCCAAAGTAGATCTCCCATCTACACATTCACTCTCATTAATTCTTAGTTTTCTGTTTGTTTCCTGTAAAGTGGTAAACAAAATGTGTGACTGTTTTATTTTTGTTTGTTTCTTTTTCCTGCCTCTCATCACTACACTCTAACATAAAGTCAAGAACCATAACTTTTTTGTTTCCCATTTTATCTGCAATAAATGAAGTAGTCCTTGATATACAATATGTTGGGGGAATTTAGCAAGATTTTCTACCTAATCTCCTAGCAGCACATGAGCAAAGTCTCAAAGGATTTGTAGGAGTTAGTCTGTGTTGGAGGGCATTTAGGGAAGTCATTTCTGTCAAGCAAAGGAGTATGTGAGAAACTGTAAATTATTGAATATAGCCAGAGTGAATACTTTACTAATAAGGATAAAAAAGAACTGGAGAGAAATAACGTTGAGGAGCAAAGCCAAGCAAACTCATGAATTATTGCCCTGTTACAAAGTCTTGAGCACCATTGCAATATTTTAAGCAAGGGAAATATAAGCAAACATTTTCTATTTTAGAAAGATAAATCAGAGAAAAGTTAGGGGGATGTGTTTGAACAGAGCAAAGCTACAGTTATTAATATAACTGTTGATATAATAGTTACCCTCTAGAAAAAGAAAGATTTCAATTTTATATGGAGTTCATACAGAGAGGAAAGATGAAGAGCTTTCTAAAGATAGAATCAATAGTATTTGGTGATCTACTCAATGTAGTGGGTGAAGCACAAAGACAAACTAAGTCATTTTTCAAATTTCTTGGTTAGCCTGTTAGGTCGAAAATGGGGCCATGTACAAAAAGTGAGGAAAATTTTGGAGTGGGGGAGGGCGAGAATATAAGCAGTAATGTCACTTTTAGTGTGGACTTTTGGCAAAATATAAGGCTCTAATTGAATAATTGTTCTTATTTTGTGTCACTCTAAAATATTCTTTATTCACCTTAAGTCCATAGTAAAGATGACATTACTACTTATATTCTCACACTACCCCATTCCAAACCTGGACCTCTCATGTGACATTCCTAAATATTGGTTAAATACATATTTCTTTTTCTGATTTGTTCCTCTGACACTCTCCAATGCATAATTATCTGGACGTTCAGAGATTGAAATAGAGGAACGTTTCAAAAAGATTTCAGGATTAAGACTCTCTTAATTATGACTCTATTGTTTAAATATGAGCTCACCCATTTATGCAGATAAGAACTGTCATTGAAATGGTTATTTAGAAAAGAAAAACACATTTTTGTCATTACGATAGGAAGAGCAATAGCTTCTTTATGAACTATTACTTCACATTAGCTGAATTCAAATAAAGATTAATTCCTATAACATGTCTTAATTTTGTGAAGAAAATAAAAATGCTAAGGTATTAGCATTTTTTAAATTTTTATCCAGGCACAATACCGGTAACCACAATAAATCAATGCAACCTTAATATAGTCACCAGGTATAAAGAAAATGTACATAATGCCAATGTTCTAAAATGACTAGATTTGGCACCACTTACATAACAATAGAGGAGAATTTTGAAAACAATTATTTTGTGTAGTAATGGGGGGTTATTTTCCAGAACATAAATAGTACAAATCAACAAAGCATTTTAATATTTCTTTTGAAATTGGCCAATTTTGAATACTAACTTCAAAGCAAATACTCATTGTTTTTGTTAATCTACAAATTGAACAAATTTGTCTATTTGAGAAATGTGAACTGTAAGTATTCACATAATAGCTGATGTTGCTATTGAAATTTTAATAGGCTGGATGCCATATTAATAAAAAATGAGATATAATTTTTAAAAATATTAAGAAAGTAAATGTTTTTTTCTTTTCAGCTTCTCATAATACAGGACAGAACATTAAATGTAAGGATAGTCAGATGAAGAAATTCAAGATAAAAACAGTCTGTTTACATCCTTATTCTTATTCTTCTATGATTCTTATTGATCCAAAATTAATCAAATCACCAGATTTACTCTCTGTCTTATCTTTTACTTCTCATTTATAACATCTTAAATTTCAGCAACATGAAATTCACATTTTAGTTAAAAGTCAGATATATCATTTAAGGAAATAAAATTTCGGTCAAAATACTCTCACTTTTTATTGTCAAATGTCAAATATTAGCAGAATTATTTCTATCCAAGTCTATTTGTATTTGTATAATCTAATTATGTTTAAAATGAGTATATATCTTGCAAAGAATAAACAAAAGAAGGTAAAAATAAATAAATGTGAAGAATTGAAAAAAAAACCCACAATCTTGGAAAAACTAAAAGAACAAGAGCATCTTGTAGCAATGGGTGCTTCCTAGTCTGGGGCAAAGAAAGAATTATGTGAGGCTGGGGTATCTTGTTCTACAAGAAATTTAGTTGCCTTCAAAATTAATGAAGTGACATTAAAACAACAAGCAAAAAGCCCTCACATATAAAAAGCCCTCACAGACTAAAGTTGTGACAAGTTGAGTATCAAAAGAATAATAATTGCAGTGAAATAAAATAACCTTTCAAAATTGAAAAATAGTGTTCAAAAACAATAAAGCCAGAAAAATCTCACAGAATAAGATTTGATAAAGCATTTCCTTACTGGGAATTTGGTAGCTAAAGTATAATAAGTAAATATCTTTTTTTTTTCCATTGGGAACTATGATTTGGAGTAAGAACTCCAGTAACTGGGGAAAAGCTCTACATTATAGAAGAGTACAGTTTATTTTGTAAAATAAATGACAGAGTTGAGATACAACTGTTTTAAGCTTGTATTCTTCAAGTAGTATAAGCTCCAAACATGTAAGTAAAATTTACAGAATTATAATGAAAATAATTCCAAATCTGAAATCAAAACATTGTAAAACTTCTTTCTGAATAATAAATACATTGAACAATGATAAAATTGAAAATTGTTACAAGAGATTTGAACAGCTAACACACTTAATGTAATGAAAATACATAAAAACCTGCACCATGAAATTCCTAAATGCACATTTTGTACCATATATAACTAATGAAAAAATTAACTTCAATAAATTGATAACAAATATCAAAGAATTATAATGATATCAGCTATTTTCTGGTGACAATGAAATTAAATACTAATTAATTACAAAAACTACCAAAAACACACATATTTCAAAACTTATATAAAAGGCATTACAAAAGAAAGAAAATTTCTAACATTTGTGTAACTAGAAACTTAGAAGGAAAGAGTACAGGGGATGGTAGCAATTTTTAATGACACACTAAAAATTTTTCAAAACTGATGAAAGAATTTAAACCATCAATTATTAAAGCTCTACTAACAAAATAAATACAAACAAAATCAGATTATTCACACCATAATCAAACCACTGAAAACTAAAACAAAAAGAAAATCTTAATAGCATTCAGAGAAAAAGAAAATATACAGTAATAATGTTTTGGTCAGTAACAGTTCCTAAAGATAAAAATGGAGCTGAAAAATTCTTCCTGCCTAGTGATATCATAGCCATCTTAACATAGTAGCACAATGAATTTACTCACATTTGTGGTTATGATTGTATGAAAGTATTTTAAAAATATAACACATAATACTTGATAATGATAATATTAATAAATGACTATGTTATGGGTTTATGTATTACTATATTATACATTTTATTGCCATTTTAGAGTATGTCTTCTACTTATTAAAAAAAGTAGAGTATGTCTTCTACTGATTAAAAAAATAGTTAACTGTAAAACAGCCTCAGGCAGGTCCTTTAGGGAGTATTTCAAAAGAAGACATTGTTATTATAGGAGACCATGAAGCCCTCAACTAGCTTAAACAGAAAGACATCTTACTGAGACTCATTCTAATCAAATTTTCAAAAGTGAAAGTCAAAGAATTTTGAAAGCAACAAAAAACAAAAGCAATCTGTCACATACCAGGGAATGTTCATAAGACTATCAGTGGATTTCTCAGCAGAAACCTTCCAAGCCAAGAATGAATGAGATAATGTATTCAAAGTGCTGTGAGAAGAAAACTGCTAACCAAGAATATTGTATTTGGCAAAGTTGTTCATTGGACATAAAAATGAATGAGAAAAAAATTTCTCCAGACAAACAAAAGCCATGGAAATTAATCACCACTATACCTGCATTACAAGAAGCACTAAATGGAGTTCTTCAAGTTTAAAAAGATAAAGATGTTAACTAACAACATGAAAACATATTATAGTATAAAATTTAGTACTAGATTGGTGCAAAAGTAGTTGTGGTTTTTGCCGTTAAAATAATGGCAAATATAAAACAGAAATATAGTCAAATTAAGAATATTCTTATAATATAATGGTGGTAAATAAATTACTTTTGCCTCTGGTATAAAAGTTAAAAGACAAAAGAATTAAAAATAACTATAGCTTTAATACATTTTTAATGGATGCACTGTATATAAAAGATGTAAGTTTTGATATTAATAACTTAAAATATGGGGAAAGGAGAAGTTAATGTGCAGTTTTTGTATGCAGTCAAAGTTAATTTGTTATCAGCCTAAAATACACTGCTTTAGTGATAAGATGTTTTATGTAAGCCTCATGGTAACCGCTAGAAAAATTATATGTAATATTATATGTAAAAGGTAAAGAAAAAGGAATCAAAGCATATCCCTACAAAAACATCATCACATCACAAAGGAAGATGCAAGAAAAAAAGGAACTACAAACAGAAAACAATAAGCAAAATTGCAGTAGTCAGTTCTTACCTTTCAGTAATTACTTGAAATGTAAATGGATTAAATTCACTAATCATAGAGCCTCTAGACTGGTTGAATGAATGAAAAAATAAGATCCAACTCTAATCACCTCACCTTTAAGAACACACATAGTTTAAAATGAAGGGATGGACAAAGATATCCCAAGCAAAAGTGAGCAGGAGAGAATATACTTATATCAGATAAAATAGTATTTAAGTGAAAAACTGGCACAAGCCAAAGGTTATTATGTATTAATAAAGGGATAAATGTATCAAGAGGATATACTAATTATTAATGTGTTTGCACTCAACATTGTTGCACTGAAATATTTTCAATATAAATTTAAATGTAGTTTATATTTTAAATATAAAAGAAAATATTAACAGAACTTATTATGGGAGGAAAAAAATAGCTATATGGTAATGGTAAGAAACTTTCTTACCCCACTTTCAACAATTAATGGGTCATCCAGACAGAAAATCAAAAGAAAACAGTGGACTTGAAGAACACTATAGACCAGATGCACCTAACAAATATATAGAGAACATTCCATCAACGTGCAACAGAGTAAAAACATTATTTTCAAATATGGATGAAACATTCTTTAGGATAGATTATATGTTAGGCCACAGAATAAATCTTAACAAATTTAAGAAGACCAAAATCATATCAATCAAACTATAATAATGTGAATCTAGAAATCAATAATAGGAAAATCTGTAAATATGTGGAAATTAAGCAACACACTTATAGACAACTAAAGGATCATAAAAGAAATCAAAGGAGACATTTTAAAAATCTTGAAACAGTAAAAACTAAAGACACAACACACCAAAACTTATGGGAGATAACAAAAGCACCTCTACTAGGGAAGCCTATAGTGATAAACACTGTAATTTTCTTTAAAAAATTATAATTTTAAAAAAATTATAGTGTTAATAATTTTTTAAAAATTGTGTTTACATTTTTTCAAAAATCTCAAATAAAAAGACTACCTTTATACCTTGTCTGAACAGAACAATAATAAAAATGTGATTGAAGCAGTAATCAAAAATCTCTCAACAAAGGAAAATCCAAAACTGGATGATGAGCTCAAGGGTGAATTTTACAGAACATTTAAAGAATTATCGCCAGTCCTTCTCAAAATCTGCAAAGAATTGAAGGGTAGGAAACAGTTCCAAATTCATTTTACAAGGCCTGCGTTACCCTGGTACCAATGCCAGGCAAGAACACTAAAAGGAAAGAAAATTACAGGGTAATATTTCTAATGAGCCTACATACAAAACTCCTCAACAAAATACTAGAAAACCAAATTCAGCAGCACATTAAAAAGATCACATGCAATGATCAAGTGGGATTTATCTGTGAGATACAAGAATGTTTTAACATACACAAACCAATAAAGAAGATCATCTGCATTAAAAGAATGAAAGATAAAAATCATATTATCATCTCAGTCCATGCAGAAAAAGCATTTGCAGAAATTTAATGTCCTATTATAGTGAAAATTCTCAACCAATTAGTTATAGAAGGATATACCTCAACATAAGAAAGCCCATATACAACAAGCCCACAGCTAATATCATACTCGAGTAAAAAGTTGATTTTTTGCTAAGATGAGAAACAAGACAAGAGTGCCTATTCCCACACTACAACTTCTATTTAGCATAGTACTGGAAGTTCTAGCCAGAGCAATTAGGCAAGATAAAATAAAAGGCATCCAAATCAGTAAGGAAGAAGTAAATTATCATTGTTTGCAGAAAACATGATCTTATACATAGAAAATCCCATAGACTCTACCAAAACACTGTTAGAACTACTAAATGAGTTTAGTAAAGTTGCTGGATACAAAATCAACACCCAAAAATCTATAGCTATTCTACAGCAAATCTGTACACTAAAAAGGAACTATCTGAAAAAGACAAGAAGAATAAAATTTCATTTACAGTAGCATTAAAAAAATAAATATTGAGGAGTAAACTTAATCATGGGGTGAAAGATCAATACACTGAAAACTGTAAACACTGATGAAAGAAATTGAAGAAGACACAAACAAATGAAAAGATATCCCATGTTCATTGACTAAAGTGATCAGTGTTAAAATATCCTCCCTACCCAAGGAGATTTACAATTCAATACACTCTCTATTAAAATTCCAATGGCATTTTTTACAGAAATTTTTTAAAATCCTAGAATTTGCACAAAACTATAAAATACCCAATGCAATGATGAACAAAAAGAAAAGCTGGAAGCATCACCCTACCTGACTTCAAAATATGCTACAAAATTATAGCAATCAAAACAGCATGATATCGGCATAAAAACAGACTTATAACTCAGGGAAGAGAACACAGAGCTCAGAAATAATTCCACACATGATGGTCAATTGCTGTTTGACAAAGGTGTTAAGAAGACCCAAAGGGTAAAAGACAGCCCCTTCAATAAATGACATTAAGAAAACTGTATGTCTGTATACAGAAGAATGAAATTGAACCCTTATCTCATAACATACACAAAAATCAATTCAAATGTATTAATACTTTAAATGTAACTAAAGTGTAATGACTTAAATGTAATTAAAGATCTGAAGTTGTAACACTTCTAGAAGAAAACTTAAGGAAAAATTTCTTTTTATTATTATTATTATTATTATATTTTAAGTTTTAGGGTACATGTGCACAACGTGCAGTTTTGTTACATATGTATACATGTGCCATGTTGGTGTGCTGCACCCATTAACTCATCATTTAGCATTAGGTATATCTCCTAATGCTATCCCTCCCTCCTCCCCCAACCCCACAACAGTCCCCAGTGTGTGATGTTCCCCTTCCTGTGTCCATGTGTTCTCATTGTTCAATTCCCACCTATGAGTGAGAACATGCGGTGTTTGGTTTTTGTCCTTGTGATAGTTTGCTGAGAATGATGGTTTCCAGCCTCATCCATGTCCCTACAAAGGACATGAACTCATCATTTTTTATGGCTGCATAGTATTCCATGGTGTATATGTGCCACATTTTCTTAATCCAGTCTATCATTGTTGGACATTTGGGTTGGTTCCAAGTCTTTGCTATTGTGAATAGTGCCGCAGTAAACATACGTGTGCATGTGTCTTTATAGCAGCATGATTTATAATCCTTTGGGTGTATACCCAGTAATGGGATGGCTGGGTCAAATGGTATTTCTAGTTCTAGATCCCTGAGGAATCGCCACACTGACTTCCACAATGGTTGAACTAGTTTACAGTCCCACCAACAGTGTAAAAGTGTTCCTATTTCTCCACATCCTCTCCAGCACCTGTTGTTTCCTGACTTTTTAATGATGGCCATTCTAACTGGTGTGAGATGATATCTCATAGTGGTTTTGATTTGCATTTCTCTGATGGCCAGTGATGATGAGCATTTTTTATGTGTCTTTTGGCTGCATAAATGTCTTCTTTTGAGAAGTGTCTGTTCATATCCTTCGCCCACTTTTTGATGGGGTTGTTTGTTTTTTACTTGTAAATTTGTTTGAGTTCATTGTAGATTCTGGATATTAGCCCTTTGTCAGATGAGTAGATTGCAAAAATTTTCTCCCATTCTGTAGGTTGCCTGTTCACTCTGATGGTGGTTTCTTCTGCTGTGCAGAAGCTCTTTAGTTTAATTAGATCCCATTTGTCAATTTTGGCTTTTGTTGCCATTGCTTTTGGTGTTTTAGACATGAAGTCCTTGCCCATGCCCATGTCCTGAATGGTATTGCCTAGGTTTTCTTCTAGAGTTTTTATGGTTTTAGGTCTAACATGTAAGTCTTTGGAAAAATTTCTTGACATTAGTTTGGGCAATGATTTTTTGGATATTGTCTCAAAAGCACAGACAACAAGAGTAAAAATAAACATATGGGATTGCATCAAACTAAAAAGCTTGTACACAGCCAAAGAAACAATTTACAAAGTCAACAGACAATCTAAGGAATGGGAGAAAATATTTGCTATCCATATGTCCTATAAGGGGTTGATACCCAAAATATCTATGGAACATATACAACTCAATAGCAAGGAAACAAATTATCCAATTTAAAATGGACAAAGGACCTGAATAGACATTTCTCCGAGGAAGACATACAAATGGCCACAGGAACATGAAAGAAAAATGCTCCACATCACTAACTTTCAAGGAAATGCAAGTTAAAAATCATATGAGGGATAATCTCACACTTATTAGAATATCTATTATTAATAACTAGAAAATATAAGTGTTGGTAAGAATGTGGGGAAAATGGACAGTTGTGTGCCAACTTGTACACTGTTTCTGGGGATGTAAATTAGGACAGCTATTATGGAAAACAATATGGAGGTTCCTCAAAATATTAAAAATAGAAGTATTATATGATTCAGCAATCCCACATCTGGGTATATAATCCAAAGAAAATAAGGTCAGTAAATTGAAGAGATATCTGCACTCTTATATTAATTGCAGCATTATTCAGAATAGTCAAGATATGAAATCAACCTAATCATTCAACAGAGATAAACAGATAAAGAAAATTATACATAAATGTATATATATAACATAGAACCACAAAATATCCCAAATACCAAAACACTTATAAGCAAAAAGACACACACATATGCATACACACACACACACACACACACAATGGAATATTATTTAGCCATTAAAAAAGAAGACAGTGCTGTCATTTGTGATGAGATAAATAGACCTGGAGGATGTTAATCTATGTAAAATAAGTCATGCATGAAAAGACAAATACTGCATGGTCTCACTCCTATGACAAATATAAAAAAAGCAAACTCATTGAAACAGAGGACAAGAATGATGAGTTGCCAGAGGGAAGAAGGTGGGGAGAATGAGAACATGTTGGATAAATGGTACAAATTTTTGGTTACGCAGGATGAATAGGTTGTAAAGATCTCATGTAGAGGACAGTGGCCTTAGTTAATAATACTGTATTTTATACTCAAAATTTGCTGAGTCTAGATCTTAAGTTTTCTCACTGGGAAAAAAACTAGGTGAGGTGATGGATTTGTTCATTACCTTGATTACAGAAATCATTTCACAATGTGTACATGTTTCAAAACGTCATGTTGTACACTGTAACTATATACAATTTCATTCTTATTTGTTCTTTAATAAGGTTGGAAAAAAATAAAAAGAGTTAATAGTGAAAAAAGCACACTTCATGCACAAATTTTAAGAAGTTTTGTTATAAGGAAGAGTCAACAAATGGGAATGTAAATTGGAAATGGATAAATACACAAATTGAGTTTAAAACAAAAGACAAGAAGTGTTGAGTATATTTGTGTTGTTGAGATTCATCTTCTGAAGAAGGGCATTAATGATTAAGGAAAAATAAAATGAAATTGCAAAGGATGTCCCTGTCCAACTGAGAATAACAGGGAACAAAAGACAAAAGTAATTGTAGACCATTAGAAAGTTGTCTTTCTAACGACAGAACACTGCTTCATTTTCTTACAAGTAATTTCCTGAGAGTGAGGAGGAATTGATGGTGGGGGCGGGGTGGCTTTCAGAAATAATAAGAGGTTATGAAATTTTTGTCTCAGGAAACACTTATTGATGGGACTGCTCAACAGTATTCACTGGCAAATGAAAAACCAGTTATACTGGTTCTGTAATTTGCCAATGATCCTCCAGGACATCAACACTTAAACTAACAGTATTTAAAATCTTGCCAAGACTGAGTATTATTAATACTTGTTATCTATGCCAATGTGATACGTGAATTTTTAAACTTCTTTATATTCTATGTTTATTTTATTATTAGGTAAAGTGAGAATGTTCTATTGTGTTTGTTTATTGTTATTTTGATTGGAAAAGAGTAAGGCTAGAAGAAAGGACACTTAGAAGATTGTTGGCATAGCGCAGGTTGAGCATCCCTAATCTGAAAATCTGAAATCCAAAATGACCTAAAATCTGAAACTTTTTGAGTGTAGACATGACATTCAAACCTCATGCTGAAAATAAATGCTCTTTGGACCATACTTGATTTCAGATTTTCGGATTAGGGATGCTCAACCTGTATAAATGAATATAATGGTGGCCTGAATACACTAAATATTAGTATGTTTGTGTATATATAGATACACACACACACACACACACATACACACACAGACTAATATATATTATGTAACATTAGACTCAAAATAAAGCACAATGAGTCTAGAAGAAAACCAGCTGCCTGTCCTCCAGGAAGCTTAAAGGGTGACATTATTTTGATGAATTTAACCACACTTTTCTCAGTCTGGATCCCAAGCTTATGGGTTTCCTAAAACCAAGTTTTATCAGCAATTGAGAAAGAATATATTTCCCAGTGGGGAGCCTCATGTGAACAAAGCCAATAAAATTAAATTTATGTATATTTTTCATCTTCAAAATAGAATAAAATGAGTTATATTTACCAACATATCTGGAACTAGATGACAAATACATGATAGCTTATTGTTATATATAAAATCAAAATGTTAATAGATTAATTACCACTGAGAAATAGAACTATCAGTCCGAGTGTTATTTTTGCATAATCAGGGCAAATTACACTTACACACAAGGAAAAACAATTTTCGTTATAAGCTTGATTAAAAAAATGGATTGGAGAGGAAATAAAGGCAAAAATTTTTTACAAAACTTTTGAAAGTGTGATTGTAAAGGAAAGAAAAGATTAAAATGGTGGCTGAAACAGAAAGTCTGGTTAAAGAATGTTGAAAGTTTAGTATTTTGCTTTATTAAGATAGTGTTATGGGATGAATTGTGTCCCCAACCAAAAGTATATATATATATTTTGAAGTCCTAACCCCCACTACTTTGCAATGTGACTTTTTATTTAGAAATAGGGTTATTGCAGATGTTACTAGTTAAGATGAGGTCATACTGGAGTAGGGCTGGCCTCTCATCCAATATGACTGTATCTTCATAAGCACATGGCCATGTGAAAACAGAGACACAGGGAACACCACAGGAGATCAAAAGCAGAGAAGTGAATTAAGTGTCTGCAAGCCAGGGAACACCAAAGATTACCAGGAAACCACCAGAAGCTACAAAGAGGTAGCCCAGAATTGTGAGACCATAAATTTCTGCCTTTGTGATACTTTGTTACAGCAGTCCTAGAAAACTAACATTGATAAGGAGATTCAAGAAGCTTTAAATGTTGTTGAGAAACAGTTACCAGGAAGGGAGACAATGAATATAGAGAAAGAGGGACTATTGATGGAGTATGTTCCTGGAAGAGAAGACAGGAAATACTACCTCAGAGAATGGCCCTGGGAGGAAAGACACTTCTTGAATTTTATTGAGAGGAAAAAAGGAAGGTGAGGTAATTCCTACCTATGATTCCCATTTTCTCTAAAATTTATGAGGTAAAATCATCATCTGATGATGAACAAATACCTGGTTTCATAGAAGATCTGGGAGAAGAGAAAAGATTGAAATAACTTCT
The DNA here is from genome assembly GCF_000001405.40 of Homo sapiens. Classification (NCBI taxonomy): domain Eukaryota; kingdom Metazoa; phylum Chordata; class Mammalia; order Primates; family Hominidae; genus Homo; species Homo sapiens. The sequence goes on from NC_000006.12 coordinate 95,976,025, forward strand.
GTAGAGAATAAGAGAGAAAACTGAGGACCTACAAGATTGGCAGTCTCAAGTAGAACATTAATAAATGAATGCATTTGCAGTTCTGTTTGATATGTAGAAAATTAAACTTATATTTTTATTTTCTTTATCTGTCCTACTTTGAAAGACTAATTTAATAATAAATATTATAAATATTATAATTTGAAACCAATAATAGTTATTTATACGTTTTGTTGCCCCCTCACATCATCTGAGAAAATCATTCATTCATTTCATGGCCTGTATTCATGCTGTTGGTATCCCAGATTTGCTTACCTAATAAGAAATGTGTAATCACTGAATTAAAGCTTGTGGAAGCTACATAACCAGAAAAAGTGGAATTCCCATTAGATCTATAAATTTACCTAGCCCTTGAGTTTATTTCAATATATGCAGTCATTTATTAAGTAAAATGACATCCTAACATTTTACAGTTTGAAATGTGTAATCAATGGGACCTATGATGGTATCAGTCAAATAATATAGAGACAGAATTGTTCATTAGCATATTTAAGAGTTTATTACTATAGATAAAACTCATCTAATTAACACAAATATGTAGTAATAAGCCAGTATGGAGTTTGAGAAGATGCTTATGATTTCTTGAGACATAGGTGTAAGATGTGTAAAATAATATTTAGTTTCCATCCCCTATCCACACAAGTAAATAAATATCTAATTAGCTATAGGTCTGCGAAATCGTAATAGAATCTCTATTCATGAGGAGATAAAGAAAAACTTAACATAATAGTATAAACATTTAAAAATAAAATGTTTAAGCACTAAAAACAATCATATATTTATGAAGGATAAGTCATTCTAAACTAAGCCCACATTATTTTGATGTGGTAACTAGTCCATTGTTTAGAAGCGTTATATTTTTATATATATGTATATATGTGCGTATGTACATACATAAACTTATGTATATGTATTTGATTTATATTTACCTATGTTTACAAAATGAAGACACAGTCAAGCTGATTAGTTATTAAAATAATGAACTAATATAGCACTGTGTTGATACTAATTGTATAGAATGTTTTTCAAAAGAGAACCAAAATCTTTACGTTAAGACTTGTCTATCTTCGTAGAGGCCAACTCCTCCTTCAAATTTTCCTCTTCTCAGTAGCAGAGCTGTGTGGCATGGAGCTCAAAAGCATAAGTTCTGCAACTATTCAACCACATTAGCAATTCCACTCTCCTGGTCACTAGCTATGTGACCTTGGAAAATTATTTATTTCTTATGTCCTACAATTTTCTTATCTGTAAAATGGAAAAATATTATTTTGTAGCATTGTTGTGAGAATTAAATGAGTTATTGCATTAAGAATATTTGGAATCTCAGCACGTTAAGAGGCCAAGGTGCAAAGATTGTTTGAGGCCAAGAATTCAAGACCAGCCGGGGCAACATAGTGAGACCCTGTTTCTACAAAAAAGTTAAAAAATTAGTTGTACATGATGGTGGACACGATAGCTACTCTGACATGGGAGGATCACTTGAGCCCACGAGTTCCAGTTTACAGCAAGCTATGATAGCACCACTGCACTCCAGCATGGGCAATAGAGTGAGACTGTCTTAAAGAAAAAAAAGGTATTTGGAGGCAGGGCGTGGTGGCTCACGCCTGTAATCCCAGCACTTTGGGAGGCCAAGGCAGGCGGATCATGAGGACAAGAGATCGAGACCATCCTGACTGACATGGTGAAACCCCATATCTACTAAAAATACAAAAATTATCTGGGCATAGTGGTGTTTGCCCGTTGTCCTGGCTACTCGGGAGGCTGAGGCAGGAGAATCGCTTGAACCTGGAGGCGGAGGTTGCAGTGAGCGAGATCACACCACTGCATGCCAGCCTGGTGATAGAGCAAGAGTCCATCTCAAAAAAAAAAAAAAGTATTTGGAGCAGAACTTGAGCCTGACACAAATTAAGAACTAAATAATATTAAATATTATAATAAGCATTTATTATATTCTCTATCTTGGCTAATAGCATTGTCATCAATTTGCACAAGCTGGAAATCTGGGCATGAGCTTTAAATCCCACCTTTTCATCACATATGTGTCATACATAATTTGTAGACCATATGCCTGGTTTAATCTTTAATATTTAAGCTTTAATTTATGTCTTCAGTTTCTCACTTGGACAATTAGGTCTGTCTCATAAGTCTCTCTAATCTCATCTGCTCACACTCAGATTTGTTTTCCACATCATTTACTATACCATGTTTCTGATATCCAAATCTAATCATGCTATTTCTTTTCTTGTAAGGTTTAAAAGTTTTCAGGATAAAGTTCAAATGACTCACCATTACACATCGAGTTGATTATAAGAGGTCACTGTTCTCTGAACCTGTTCTGCATCTCTACACCTTACTGCTCTGCACTATTTTCTCTCCATCTCCCACTTGGAGTGCCTTTCCCTCCCTTCTCTGCTTAGTCATGATGCCCTTTTCTTCTCATCTTGCATTAGTCATCCTCTCTCTTTCACCTTTTAGCACAATTATTCCTTCATAACAAGAGCACGAATAACAATAGTTAACATTAACATACAATTATGTGTCACACACTATTATAGAGACAGATAATACCTCATTTATGCCTCAAAACAATTCAATAATATGGGTAATGTTATAATCCTTATTTAACAGATGAGAAAACTGGAACCAAAGAATTAAACACTTGTCCAAGACCACCTGGCTGATGAGATATGGAGCAGATTTTGAATCCATACATTATTATTTGAGAGCTAAAGTTCTGAAATACTAAATAATACTGCCACCCCAAATACAGAACCTGTATGTTACTGCATATCATACTATCATAAAAATCAACCTCTCTATCTCTTCCAAAGTACATTGTTTTCTTCATATAGGAATCTCCAGTGCTTAATTCAGTAGTGGGAATACAGAATCCATAATCATTGATAAAAGAACAAATAAATAAATGGATAAATGAGCAAGCGCAAATAAAATAAATAGCCAGTTTCTAGAGGATTACCTTTCCCACCCTGTGGAAATCATGTTTATTCATTTGCATGATTCCCACTTCTTTATGTTTTTCTTTCAACCTCGTTATGGGAGGAACATAGGATAATTAAATTTAAAAGTTACGCTACAGCTAAATTAATGTTTGTCCATATCTATACAACCGCAAAGAAATCAGGCCATAAGAGAACTGTTTGCCATTGTAAATAATGCTACAGTGAATGTGGGAGTACAGATATATCTTGGCATACTGATTTCAATTTCTTTGGACATATATCCAGAAGTGGAATTTTACAATTATTATTTGTCAATTAAAAATACAATTAAGTCTTTAAAAAAGAACTGTGCTTGACTTGATTTGTCAGTTTTTCAAGTCCTGAAAGTGCTAGCATTAGTGCTTATGGAAACTGTTACGATAGATTTTCATCAAATTGAGCCATTTGAATTCTGAAAGTCTGATCTCTTTTTCCAGGGTTGTTAGATATAGCCACTGTAATAAAAAATCGTATAAGTGGAATTGTTTTAATATTCCAAAGTCAAGACTAAAAAGTGCATATATTTAGTCAGTAGAGTGTAGCCTCAGTACAATTTTAAAAGCTTCTGATGGATATGCGAAAGAACAATCCCATTCAGCTGAAATACATGATTTGATTCCTGTCTAGATTTCTGAAAATATTCCTCCTGGGCCAGTGAGAGTAGCCACATTAGAGGTTTTCCAAAAAGTTAGATTTAGTGTTGCAATATACATCTTTCTTCATTTAGCCTCTGACTATTTAGAGGCTTTCAACCTCATTTCTTAAATGTCATCACTTTTTTTTTTTTTTTTTAGCTTTCAGCAACTTAATTTTTTTTT